>NC_000005.10:97382534-97685564 GCF_000001405.40 Homo sapiens
TTTCATTCTTTTTATTTATTTATTTATTTATTATTATTATACTTTAAGTTTTAGGGTACATGTGCACAATATGCAGGTTAGTTACATATGTATACATGTGCCATGCTGGTGCGCTGCACCCACTAACTTGTCGTCTAGCATTAGGTATATCTCCCAATGCTATCCCTCCCCCCTCCCCCCACCCCACAACAGTCCCCAGAGTGTGATGTTCCCCTTCCTGTGTCCATGTGTTCTCATTGTTCAATTCCCACCTATGAGTGAGAATATGCAGTGTTTGGTTTTTTGTTCTTGTGATAGTTTACTGAGAATGATGATTTCCAATTTCATCCATGTCCCTACAAAAGACATGAACTCATCCTTTTTTGTGGCTGCATAGTATTCCATGGTGTATATGTGCCACATTTTCTTAATCCAGTCTATCATTGTTGGACATTTGGGTTGGTTCCAAGTCTTTGCCATTGTGAATAATGCCGCAATAAACATACGTGTGCATGTGTCTTTATAGCAGCATGATTTATAATCCTTTGGGTATATACCCAGTAATGGGATGGCTGGGTCAAATGGTATTTCTAGTTCTAGATCCCTGAGGAATCGCCACACTGACTTCCACAGTGGTTGAACTAGTTTACAGTCCCACCAACAGTGTAAAAGTGTTCCTATTTCTCCACATCCTCTCCAGCACCTGTTGTTTCCTGACTTTTGAATGATTGCCATTCTAACTGGTGTGAGATGGTATCTCATTGTGGTTTTGATTTGCATTTCTCTGATGGCCAATGATGGTGAGCATTTTTTCATGTGTTTTTTGGCTGCATAAATGTCTTCTTTTGAGAAGTGTCTGTTCATGTCCTTCGCGCACTTTTTGATGGAGTTGTTTGTTTTTTTCTTATAAATTTGTTTGAGTTCATTGTAGATTCTGGATCTTTGTCAGATGAGTAGGTTGCAAAAATTTTCTCCCATTTTGTAGGTTGCCTGTTCACTCTGATGGTAGTTTCTTTTGCTGGCAGAAGCTCTTGAGTTTAATTAGATCCCATTTGTCAATTTTGGCTTTTGTTGCCATTGCTTTTGGTGTTTTAGACATGAAGTCCTTGCCCATGCCTGTGTCCTGAATGGTAATGCCTAGGTTTTCTTCTAGGGTTTTTATGGTTTTAGGTCTAACGTTTAAGTCTTTAATCCAGAAGATGTCACTTTTAATGTGGTTTATTATCTGGGTATTATATACATGTTTTAAAACAGCAGTTATGTATACTTCTTTTATATGGTATATTTTCATTGATTATCATTTGAGAAGGTAACAGACAGTTTAGAGTAACATTATGCAAATTGTGAGATTAACTAGATTTTGCAAAACTTTCCCTGTAATTTAAGAATATTAACAAAAATATTATTTACTATAATTCAAAGTAAAATTTAAAAAAAGCACATTTGACTGGCCTTTGACTTTGGGGGTGGTGAGTCATCATTGTCCCATAAAAATACCCTGTTATGATTTGTTTCTACAAACAGACTTCTAGCTCTGTATTACATGCTGAGTTTCTAACTTGTTTTATTCAATTTCAAACTTTCAGCACAGCATCTTGGCCCTTTAGCATATGGTTCAGCCTAACTTTTAAATTATATTTTCACATTTTTCCTTACCTACTCCTTAATTTCTGACTCATTAGTCTCCAAACATGTCCTCTGCATTCTTTCCAGCTTGCTCATGTTGACCCTTCTGTCTGTTGAAATCATAGGTACCATCTCATGCCTTTCTCAAAATTTCATCTTCTCGATGAAGATCTTCTTAATCCTTTCCACTGAACTTGAATTCTGATATCAGTTGATCTAACAGTTTTTATGTCAATATGCCAATATTATTCTATCTCTTATAACATATTATTCTGTTAGATGTATTCTGTTTTTTCCTCCCACTTCTCCATCCTCCACCTCCCCTCCCACCCTATGCTCCCAGACTCTTGAAAGAGGATTTGAGAATATTAAATGAGTCATATTGATCTTTGTATTACAATGACAACAATAACAATAATAAAAACAATAACTTCTAAGTCTTGTTGAGTGTTCACTAGTTGAAGATGGTGTAGTACTGTTGCATTATAATATATCATGAGTTTATACCACTTCACAATGACATAGCTAATATTTTTACTTCATTTTATAGATGGGAAAACTCAGGCTTAGAGAAGTCACCAAGGTCAGTTAGGGAGTGACAGGGCCATGATTTGACCCCTGGCACTAGGATTCCAGAACTCATATTTTGGACCACTACATAGGATTGTAATCTCCAAAGGTGCATCACCTATCATAGAAGTTCAATAATAGATAAAAATTGAATTTGCATTTTCAAAGAAACATGCTTTTCTATATTAAATTTTGGGGCATTATGGTTGGTCTGTGTTACATTTGTGCTTCCTTCACAAACATGCATTGCTTCCTTCAAAAACATGCTCATAGCAGTACCTTATTTTTTATAAAATATTATTTTTATTGGAATTAACATAAGCACTCTATGGAGTATAAAAGATTAGGTTGACTATGATTTGAAAAACAAGGGATTTAAATCATCGACTACCTATCATACCAGTTGAGGAAACATGATTTTTCAAACTCAAGTTAATAACTTTTCCATTATGAAGCATCATTCGGTGGAAATTTTAATGATACTTATTTCTACTGCTTATTACCAGCTATTTTTAGCTTATCTCTTGTCAAATAATTCAAGGTTATCCTTCTGCCTATTTACTGCAGGCCAGGGAGGGCAAATAGACATAGTCTCAAGGATCATCCATGTTTGTTCCATTAGTAGTAGCTGCCTGGATCCCTGAGTTGAGATTCTGAATCTTTGCCCATGTCCTCAGGAAAGAGTTCTATCATTACTTAGGAGTATCTGACATAACAATAGAGTTTGTGCAAATAACACAGTGTCTGCTACACATCTGTCCTTTCTGTTGTAGGCTGCTGTCTTTCAGTATTGTGTAGACATATGTTAACATACAAGTGAATTTTGGTATTAAGACATAACTGACCAACCAAATGCCTAGACTACAAAGAGTGAATCATTCCAACTTGGAGATTTTGGAATAGATCCTTCTTTATATTCCTTTATAATGTGTGAATGTGCAGGTATTTTAGCATTATTTCTATTAGTATCTCTGTTATGATATTATGATTTACACATTCCTATCCTATGTTATGTATCTCAACACTATTTTCTTATGGTTTTTGTTATTGAAGAGCTTTCAACGACTTTGGGTAATGCCAAGAATACATTGGCTAAAACATTAATTTTATTTCTGGACCATTGCCTGGTTAGATGGAAAACATATATAATATGTGGTAAGTTTATTAGATTATTTTCTAGCTGTTTCCTCTGTATTTCCTTTTGAACCTACTGAATAAGGGTAGTCAATAAAAGTATTGCATTAGAATGATGACATTCCGTTTGTCAATGCCTTACTTGCTGTTTTCTAGCTAGCTTCAAGGAATACTTATGCATTATGCATCTTCATTAATCTTTACTACATTAAATCCAGTAGTGATTACACTTAAAGTCACTTCACACTTGCAGACTTTGCCTTTTGCTAACAGTATTGTCTGTGTTTGAGTCTTTTGTCTTCTTCCTTAAGTTGTATGATCATTTCAAACCAGTAAGAAGATAGGTGATTACCATTATTTCTTGGTGGTATCATGTACATTGTTTATGCTCATTAAAAGCTAAATCATATTTGCTTTTCAAATTCTAAAGCTAATTTGGGTTTTGCTGGAAATATTACAAACCTAAATTTTGCCATATATTTCTCATCTCTGCATGGAGATTTTCATCTATATCAACACATATTCTTGGCCTATTGATAGAGATCTGCATATGGATCTATAATACAAGATGAACACTTTTAGAAAGAGTTGTCTTGGTGTCTACATGACATGAAGAAACTAAGCTGCAATATTATTTCTCATAATGTGGATTTATTTTTATTTATTTATTTATTTTTTGAGATGGAGTCTCACTCTGTTGTCCAGGCTGGAGTGCAGTGGTGTGATCTTGGCTCACTGCAAGCTCCGCCTCCCAGGTACTTGAGATTCTCCTGCCTCAGCCTCCCAGGTAGCTGGGATTACAGGTGTCCACCACCACAGCCAGCTAATTTTTTGTATTTTTAGTAAAGATGGGGTTTCACTGTGTTAGCCAGGATGGTCTTGAACTCCTGACCTCATGATCCGACCGCCTCGGCCTCCCAAAGTGCTGGGATTACAGGTGTGAGCCACTGCACCCAGCTGGATTTATTTCTAAATAAAATTTCACTAAAAATTTTCTTAAAGATAACTTTCATCCTCATCTTATATTCCACTATATGTGTATTTTTTAGCTATAGGCATTTGCACCCACTCTGACTAGTTTAAACAGAAAAGGATTTATTCAGGATTATTAGCAATTTACACAATTATTAAGAGAGCTGAAGGAACAGACTTGAAATAATTAAACTGCTACAGGAACCTGCTGAGATATTCTATAGTTCAAATGCACCGAGTTATTTAACAGATATAAGAAGAAAGGGGTGAAGGAGAAACCTATAAATTAAAAGAGACTTAAAAGACACATCAGATTCTTAAAGAGGGTGCAAGATTAAATTATAGTGTCTAAGGATGCATACTTAGGTGATAACATGATAATGAATGGAAGGAAGTGAATGTTACAAATGTCAGAACAGTGATTAAATTTAGGAGAATAAGGGACTTATTACTGTGATGAGTTACATGGAGGAGTTGCTGGGTGGCTTGCAAAATTCTACTTTATGATCTGGGTGGTAGTTATAAGTGAGTTCATCTTAAAATATCTCATCAAGTTATTCATTTTTCAGTTTTTTTATCATTTTATTTTCCAAGAAAGTAGTTGAAAACAATTTAAAACAACATTATCAACAACATGTCAGTAGTATCACCTTCTTACAGGAGTTAGGTTACTTTTATAAATGTGTTGTTTTTGCATATACCATGTTTTTTATTGGAAGAGTTATATTAGAGAACTTTTACAGTTGAGTCATATGTAAAAACTATTTAAACATCTACTACAACAGCAGTGAACTCAGACTAAGATAAGGTAAATCTTTACTCAGATTAAAAAGCAAATACCTATAATTCTTCTTCTAGTGATGGTGTGTAGCATTAAATACCAACAAATTGAAAGTTTAAATACATAATAGATGGGAATGACTATGAAGATTATTAGTTTTCAAAAGCAGAGAAATCTTGGCCGAGGTAAACTTTCTTGAATTGAAGTGTTAGTATCTTTTTACATTTTAGATGTAGCTGGATAACTCACATAATAATTGATTTCAATTTACTATTAAGACAGCATAACAAAACTGCTTTAGCTTGTCCAGCTATCTTTTTCTTTCCTCCTGTGGTAAAATCCCCTTCCCACCTGCTCTCCCCTATTTCTTGCCCTTCCTTAGGAGACTGGCCCTCTTCTACTCCAGTTCTGGTGTGTTTGTGATAACAGTACCCTGCTTCTTGATTAAAAAAATCAGCCCAACGTACATGTGATCCAGGTTGGACCAATCAGAGGCCTTCTCTGAAATTTTATATATTGATTCAAAAAAGGAGATCTTTCTGTGTGTTCTATGGTCATTTGATGGGTTGATATGTGCCTAAAGAGGAGAATTTTCGAACATTCTCAAAAATGTGGTCCTGAGAGCTGGAGAGAAAGGGAAGCAGAAAGGTAAGACAATATTATTTGAGGTCTCATTTGCATCTGAATCCAGCTCTGCCTTACATTTCTCAATTGCAATGAACAAGTAAATTCCTTATTCCATTTTTGCTTATACTAGTTTAAAGTGTGCTTCTGTCATTTGTGAATGAAAGTTTCAACTATTTTAGGAAGCATAATAAATTTTCTCTTTTTACTTCTTTGATATCAGTTGAAAAATGTCGCAAGTGTCATTTTTACACTCTAAAATAGGACAGGAAAGAATTAGTATTAATCAAGTATCTGAGTCTTGATCTGCCAGCTAACTTCAGAAATTGTCGTCAGTCTTCTAGATTCTCATTAACATTTAATAAAGACATTTGTCAAGATTAATCAATGGACCTGGCAATTGTTAATTAAGCTCTCCTAAAGTATTTCCTCTTTAGCACTTAAATATTTACTTTGGAATATATATGATAGATCGTGTACAATTTGCTAATGACAAGAAGGATGCATTTGCCTTGAAGTTAATAATATTTTTAAGTTTTAGATTTGGAAATCAAGCATCTTTAATTTTTAAGAAGGAAAATAAATAGTTACTACACCCGAGGAGCCCTATCTGTATACAATCTGATTTGGAGGTTGCCATATTCTAGCCTTTGAGCGGATGGTGTGATGGGATGAGAATTTTGGGGACTCTGGGAGGGGATGAGTGTGTTTTGTATGTGGAAGGATGTGAGTCAATGGGGAGTCACAAAGCAAACTGTGGTAGGCAGTTTCTAAATGGCTCTCAATGATCCCTGCCTCCTGGTATTCATGCTCAGTGTAATCCCCTCCTCTTGAATGTAAGCTAGGACCAGTGACTCTCTTATAAGGAATAGAATATGGCAGAAGTGATGGGATGTCACTTTCTAAACTAGGTTATAAAAGACTGTTTTCTGTCTTGCTCACTCTCTCCTTTCAAAATTATTTTCAACTTTCCCTTATTGTACTAGTTTATTAAATATCAGTATCTTGCTGATATTTAGCCAAAGATGAAGTTTACCACTTACTTTGGGCTGCATTATCAAGCAGCTTGACTCTCGGAAGACTGGTCTCTCCTGTCCACTGTGCTGGCAGCCACTACAGGCCTTATACTGCATGAGCCTTCGATGATCTTTTTCACCCAGCCTAACTGAAAACACACAGGAAAGGGAATTCTCAAGTATATAATTCAGCCCAGCCACATTGCCATATTACAAAGCTACCAAAATTACTCAGAGTCCAGTTTATTTAGGAATGACAGGATAAATGCATGATTCTTTTCCTTAATTTACTACTTTTCAGGAAGAGGAATTGTTTCTTTATCATCCCCTGAAGTTGGCAAATTGTTTTTTTAGATTAACTTTTAATGTTAGAATGGGTTTAGATTCAGAAAAGGCTTGTGAAGATATTACATAGATTCCCCATAGACTGCACACCATTTCCCTTATTATCATTATTTTACATTAATATAGTATGATTGTTATAATTAATGGATCAATATTGATACATTATTAGTAAATAAAATTCATACTTCATTCATATTTTCTTATGTCCTTTTTTTTTCTATTCATGGTATCATTACATTTAGTGGATACCACACTGTATTTAGTGTCATGTTCCTTTAGGGTCCTCTTGGCTGTGACAGTTTCTAACACTTTACTTGTTTTTGATGATCTTGGCAGTTTTGAAAGCACTGCTCAGACATTTTCTGGAATGTCCCTAAATTGGAATTTGTAGGATGTTTTTCTTATGATTAGACTTGGGTTCATAACATTTTTGGGAGGAGAACCATAGAGGCAATATTCCATTTTCATTCTATCATATTCAGGATACATGCTTTCAATGTGTCTTATCACTGTTGATGTGGACGTTCATCAGCTGGCTGAGGTATTGCTTGTCAAGTTTCTCCACTGTATAGTTACTCTTTCCATGCTTCCCTTACATACTATACTCTTTGAAAGGTCACTATGCACAGCCCGCACTTGAGAGAGTGGGGAGCTATGCTTTACCTCCTTGGGGACAGAATAGCCACATAAATTATTTGGAATTCTTCTGCATGGGCAATTTGTATATTTTTCCCCACTGTTTTTTTTTTTTTTTGAGATGGAGTCTCGCCCTGTTGCCCAGGCTGGAGTGCAATGGTGTGATCTCTGCTCACTGCAACCTCCACCTCCCAGGTTCAAGCGATTCTCCTGCCTTAGTCTCCTGAGTAGCGGGATTACAGGCGCGTGCCACCATGCCCCGCTAATTTTTTGTATCCTTAGTAGAGATGGGGTTTCACAATGTTGGCCGGGCTCGTCTCGAACCCCTGACCCCATGATCCGCCTGCCTCGGCCTCCCAAAGTGCTGGGATTACAGGCGTGAGCCACTGCACAACTATTTAATGTCTTGTATTCCACATTACAATGTCATATAGCATAATTTCACCTATTCAACTCCCCTCACCCACCCAACTGCTAGCAACCACTGATACGTTTATCATCCCTATCATTTTGTCTTTTCCATGATGTCATATAAATGGAGCCACATATTACATGGCCTTTTCAAATTGGCTTCTTTCAAATAGTAATATACACTTAAAATTTATTAATGTCATTTTGTGGCTTATTAGCTCATTTCTTTTTATCACTCAGTAATATTGCACTGTGTGTATTAATATATACTAGAGTGTATTTATGAATTCAGATATAGAAAAACATCTTGGTTGTTTCTAGTTTTTGATAGCTATGAATTAAATTGTTATAAGCATTTATATGCATATTTTCTTGGGACATGTTTTCAAATTAGTTTGGTAAATATCTAGGAGTGCAGTTGCTGGATTATGTAGTAATGTTACCAAATGTTTAGCTTTGTAAGAAACTGCCAAACTGAGGTAGGAGGTGGGACTCAACTGTGGACCAGATTGAAGACTGGTTGAAACAGGAAGATACACTGAAAGCACTTTTCCATAAGACACACCTACCAGCACCATAACAGTTTACCATTGCTATGGCAGTACCCGAAACTTACTGCCCCTTCCTTCCTTTCCAAGGAAGTTACCATCCCTTTTCTAGAAATTTCTGAATAACTCTCCCCTTAATTTGCATGTAATTGAAAGTGGGTATAAATATGACTGTAGAACTGCCCTTGAGTTGCTATTCTCAACACGCTGCCTATGGGGTAGTGCTGCTTTGCAGGAGAAGTCATAGAGCTGTAACTCTGCTGCCTCAATATAGCTGTTTTCTTCTACTACCAGCTTGGTCTTGAATTCTTCACTGAGCAAAGCCAAGAAACTTCCAAGGCTAAGCCCCAATTTTAGGGCTTGCTCACCCTACATCAAGTGGTGCCCAAAGTGGGGCTGAAGAGAGAAGATGACGGTGAGAGAAGCAGTGGTTATAGTTGGCAAGATGATGGCAAGAGACAGCGACCAGTGAGATGATGAGCAAAGAGGAGAAAGATGGTAAAGTGGTCAGTGACTGAGGCTTCAAGAGTTGTAACACTGAAGAGCTGCTCACACTGCAAGAGCTATAGCACTAAGCAAAGGCTCTTTTCAGAGCCCTCATTTTTCCAGACAGGCGGTGGAGGTGAGTGGACAGGCAAGTGATCATAGTACTGCTGCCTTATACAATACCTGCCACTCTGACCAGCAGGCTAGTGGGTTACTGGTCCCTGTGCTGGCACTCCCACTGCAACAGCTGAGCCTACCCAACCTTGGGAACCTGAAGAAAGCTCACTTGGGTCCCATGCAGAAGATTCATCAGCACCATTTTGGCTCCTGTGGATTGATGAGTGTCCCCACTTCCCCAATTCCCATAATATTGGGTGAGCTAGGGAATAAAAGCCTCTGGCTAAGTGGTCAATTTAAAGTCCCCTGTCATTTGAATGCCCTGAAACACACCCTTGTTACCCCTTCCCCTGGTCCTTTTTCTTCTGACTCCATTTTATTGCACCACCAGTCATTTTATTTTCAGTCCTAAAATTAATGTTTTTTTTGCAGGACTCTGAAATGCCAGAGTCACATTGTTCTGTGGCCCCAGCCATGCCTTTGGGGTTCTGTTGGCTACCCCCTGGGTGCTCTGGGGTTTTCAGCATTGGTTGGCTCCCAGATACTCTGGGTTTTCTTGCATTAGTTGTGGAGACCCTCACTGGCCGATATTCAGGTACTGTGGATTTTAGACATTTGGTATTTTTAGTTGCTCCCTGGATTCTCCAGGGTTTTTGACAGTGGCATTTCTTCTAGGAATGTGGGTTGGAGGCCCACCCTGGGGGAATCTTGGGGGAAACTTGGTCTTGCCTTCTCTTGTTTTTGGCTCTAAAGTTATTATTTTTCACAACAGCATTTTTTTTCTTGTCACTTTATTTACACTTTTCCTTCTACACTTAGTTAAAAAATACTTCTTTTGTCATATTTTGTTTACTGGCAAACACTTATAATCTACTCTCATAACTTGCTAACTATACTTACACCTTCTTTGCAGGAAGTGAGAAACTAAAAGGGAAAAATAGCAAGGGCCTAGTTGCTTTCCCTCTTACTAGATTTAGAAAGTCTTCTGTGTCCTGTAGAAATCCTTGTTAGACATGGGGACAATGATGAGCACCCCAGAGGACTCTCCACTAGGGTGTCTTTTAGGCTACTAGAGCAAATTCAAATTTGGCTTAAAGAAACTCATTTTCTATTGCAACACTTTTTGGGTCCATTACACAGTAGAAAACCAACACATCTGGCCTAGGCATGTAATGTTATTTTACAATTAGATTCATTCTGTAAATAAGAAGGATAATGGGAGGAGGTACCTTATGTACAGGCTTTTATGACCCTTTACTTGTTTATGTTACTTCCACCACCAGGAAGCTACCCCTGAGCTATCCCTAAGGGATCTCCTCCTAGCTTCTCTCCCTAGAAGCCCTAACGCTCCGTGGATCTTCTTCAGTCCCTCAATTCTGGTCAGGGGGAATCTCACTAGTTCTCTAATGAAGGATTCCACCCCAGGGCCATCAGGTACCCCTTCCCCTTATCCACTAGCCCTAGCTTATAGCTCCTACTGCCTGAGAAGAAAGTAAGCTCAAACAGTACCACCAGGAGTGGGGTCCCACATCAGTGTCTAAAATCGAACCTGTGTCGATTGCAGGAGGTAGCTGATGGAAATAAAGTAACACTTGGAATATATGTCCAATTTTCTAAGTGTGATTTGGCTTTCTCCAGTCAAAATATGGGCGATTTTCAGAGGATCCAAAAAAGTTCATAGAGATGTTTGTTAAGGTGACCATGTGCTTTAATTTGTCAAGACTTGCAAGTATTGTCACATACTTACTGTGTTGTAGGAAAAAAAAGTTAAGCCAGTTAATTATGACAAGGTTAAAGAAATTAAGTCAGGGAAAAGACAAAAATCCTGCTCTGTTTCAGGGTCATTTGGTTGAGGCATTCAGAAATATATGAATACAGACCCAGACTACCCCTAAGGGAAAGCTCTCCTTGGTATGTATTTTATTATTCATTCTACCCCTGGTATTAGAAGGAAGCTTTAGAAAGCAGCAATGGGACCCCAAACCTCTATGAGCCAACTCTTAATCATCACCTCTAAAGTTTACAATAGGGATAGGGCAAAAGAGGTTAAAAAAAAAAGGAAATAGCCAAAAAATGCAATTATTAACAGTTTCATTAAGCTCCCTACCCTCTCAGGGTTACCCGTCCCAAGAAAGTGTCACAAGATTGGCATCTGAAATGCCCAAAGAAGAGTTCCTGACTCTCTGGCCCCTGGGCTAGAATCAGTGTGTGTAGTATAAGCAAAAGGGCTATTGACAATGAGAATGTCTTAACCATCCCCCCGTGAGAGAGAAAAAAAGCTCCCCATCAATACTAGAGCCAACCTTCTTCCACTGGCCCCAACAAGCTACCTTGTTCAAGTACGTTTACTAGGGGTCTTCGACACTTGACTTGATGAACAGCTTTCTGCAGTGGCAGACAAGTGGCCACTCAAACATTTTTCTTCAGTGTTTCCACTGCCCGGTGAGCCCTCCAGTGGTTTAGGGATTCCAGGATCTCCCTTTGAGTAATATACTTTGCCCCCTCCCTTCCTTACTTAATGCTATGGGATCCTCTTCCCTGACTCTTTCTGTTTTCCATACCTATTGGGGCAAACAAAATTTGGCCAGGTAGACAGGTTCCAATTTTGTAAACAACTTGGATCCAGTTGTATTGTGTAGGTCACTTTGTTTGATATGTTTGTTTATGTGTATATACAGGTATTGTGATGGGTGTTATGTCTAGGATGCTATCAAATTGGTTTATAAACCAAATTGGTTTATAAACTCACTCATAAATTAAACAAATAAGGCTAGTTTAAACGTTTTAGTTTGAAAATAATGTTGTGTCTTCTCAAATGTAACTTTATAATAAATTGATGTCCATAGGCTTTAGAATGGTTAAAATGGCCTTAAATAGTGAGCTTTGTGTAGTTAAAAATCTTAAATTGTGAAATGGTTCTCATCTATAAAATGTCAATGTCTGGTGGGCAATTCAGGATTTCTTGCTTTCTAGGTTTATAGAAAATATACCAAAAATTGTACTGTCTATTGGGAAAAGAAAAAAAATAAATATATATATGTCAGTTTGGAAATTATTAAAAGGGAGTTTCAAAATATGAGGGAACCAATTAGTAGAAAACAGATGTAAAGAATGTTATGGATAGAAAGTGCATTTTTTTTTTGGCTAGGAAGAATGTAAAAAAAGGGTAATTTTATATGAGAAAGGATTTTGAATAGTAAATCCTGGTCCTAGGGTAATATGATTGGCTATTTAAGAAGAAGGTAGAAAATGTAGGACAAGTCAGAAAGTCCAAGCATAATGTAGCTGGTCTGCGTAAGTGAGGATAAGGCTTGTGAAGGGGAATTTATAAAAGTAATTTTGTTTAGGATTAAGCTTGCTATGATTAAAGAAGAATTATTTGCGGTAGACTTTCTAGAAAATGGCCTCCATATTAGAACCAGGCTTTCTTAAGGTATTGATTTCCTAAATTAGAGGAAATTTTGCTGTTAGAACTATAACCAATTTCTTTTAAAACTTCTCAGATTAATGTCTAACATATTCAACTATTGTTTTACTTCCAAGTTTATCTCCCTTTAAGAAGGCCTGGAATAACGGCTGTCTCCTTTTTCATCATCTCCAGTGAGTTTTTCTCTTCTGATTCTGACTAAAATTGTGGCTTGATGCTAAAGTGTTTTGTCTCAGAGGTCTTTGGGAGCAATGTTTCCCCCCAATATAGCTTGATTCTATAATCTTGGTTTTTACTGATATATAATCTTATTTTTGTCTTTTAGTTTTTGACTCAAAAATATTTTAAGGGCTACTGAGTGCCTCCTCATCTCCATTGGCCTAGAATGTTTAATTGGCTAAAAGTCTTTTAACTCTAAGTACCTTGGCCAAAGAGAATCTATAAGACACACCTGTCAGCACCATGACAGTTTACCATTGCCATGGCAACACCAAGACCTTAACACCCTTTTCCATGGCAACACCTGGAAGTTACTGCCCCTTTTCTAGAAATTTCTGAATGACCTGGCCCTTAATTTACACATAATTATAAGTGGGTATAAATGCCCCTGAACTGCTAATCTCATCATACTGTCTATGGGGTAGCCCTTCTCTGCAAGAGCAGTCACACAGCAGTAACACTGCTGCCTCAATAAAAAGCTGTTTTCTGTTACTACCAACCTACCCTCGAATTCTGTCCTGAGTGAAGCCAGAAACCTTCCTGGGCTAAACCCAAATTTTGGGCATCTTCTGCCCTGCATCAAAACTATCTTCCAAAGTATACCACTTTGCATCCCCACCAGCAATGAATGAAAGCTCCTGTTGCTCTGCACCCTTGACAGCAATTGGCATTGTCAATTTTTGGATTTAACTTCTAAAAATTATGTAGTGGTATTTCATTTGTATGAAAAATAATTTTCTCTCCACACTTTATAGTTCTTAACTGGAACTCACTGTAGCAAAACAGAGATTAACAGGAGAAAAACAGAATTTTATCAACATATATACTGCCTGTATATATGTTGATTTCTCTGGGAGAAAACCCAGAGAAATGAGTAAATCGCCAGAGTAAACTCAAAAGTGCATTTAAGCTTTAGGCTTTAGTATCACTTCCTGTGAAACAAAAAAGTTTGTGAGGAAAGGCTCAGTTAAGAGGAGATTGCCAGGAAAAGCACCATAAAACAAAGGTAAGATTTATTGTACAGATGTAAGCATATGCTGTCTCTATTGGTTAAGTCTCTGGTGATTTAGTTATCATTCTCTTCCTGCTGCAGAGAGGAAGACACCCTTATAAATAGAGATTTTCTTTCTAGAGATAAGTTTCTCTTACGAAAGAGCAAATTTTCATAGCTACTCCCATGTCTGCAGTTTTTCAACATAACCAATCCAAAATAATGAGTATGCCAAAGGGACATATTCTGGTTACCTACGGTCATATTTTGGAGTAATATGTCCTGAGCTCTATCACATGTTGTTTTAATTTGCAATTCCCTAAAGACAAATAGTATTGAGACTCTTCTCATATGCTTGTTTGCCATCTATATATTGTAGGGGCAAAGAGAGTTTTCCTCTCTCTCTGAAGATTAGAATTTGATGAAATAAATGGACAAGGATAGATTAACATGAGGAAGGGCACACAAATTTATTAATATGCACCAGACCACCAAAATATGAGACACAAAGAAGGATCAAATGGCTGAAGCTTAAATAGCACCCTCTTCATAGAGGAGAGTGACATGGGGGAATGTAGGCAATTTTGAGGGGTATTAAATGATTTTTAGGAGAGTTTAATAGACTCAAAGAGCAGACAATAGTTTATAAATGATTCTCTTTAGAAATTGAATGGTACTGAAGAACAGACAATAGCTTGTGACAAAGTCTGCCTAGGTATAGTGACATTCCTCTGTCATCCTTTCTGCAATATGAGTTTAATCTTCCCTGGTTAGTAAGAGTTTAGGGAAGAGATCAAAGGCAATTATCTTCCTTCTGGAGGAGCCTCAGATAAGTGAACTTTGCATACAGTTCTATTGCTTGCTTGGGGGTAGATATCAAGAGAAGGTCAAAAAGTCCTTGGCTCTGAGGATGCTTTTAAGGCCTTTTAATTCTCTTTAATTCAAAGTGCTCAGCATTTCAAAATGCCATACTTTGCAGTATCTTTCATGAACTCCAACAACATCCTCTTTGGTAAAGTGTCTAGTCAGATTCTTCCCCTATTTTTTAATTTGTTTGTTTGTTTTCTTATTAAGTTTTAGAGTTGTTTGTATATTTTGGATAGAAATTCTTTAATAGATATGTGTTTTTGAAAATATTTCCTAACAGTCTGTGTTTTTCTTTTCATTTTTATAATAGTTTTTATCATAGAGTAGATGTTTTAAATTTTGACAAAGACCAACTTAATTTTTTTAATGGATCATGGTTTTGGTATGGTATATAAAGTCTTCATCAAACCCAAGGTCACCTAAATTTCTATATATCCTGTGTTTTCTTCTTGACGTTTTATAGTTTGCATTTTACATTTAGATCCATTATTCATTTGGAGTTAACTTTTGTGAAAGGTCTAAAGTCTGTGTCTAGATTCTTTCTCCTTTTTGTTTGCATATAAATGTCTCATTGTTTTCAGCACCATTTGTTGAATAGACTCTCCTTTCTTCATTGAATTACCCTTGATCTTTTGTCAAAGATCAGTTGATTGTACCTGCATAGGTCTATTCTTGGGCTTTCTATTCTATTCCATTCAGTGTACTCTCTTTCCAGTGCCATGCTGTCTTTCTTACTGTGGCTTTATAGTAGGTCTTGAAATGGGTAGTATGAGTCTTCCAACTTGGTTTTTCTTCAGCATTGCATTGTATTCTGGATCTTTTCCCTCTTCATTTAAAGTTTAGAGTAAGTGTATCTACAACTACAGAAGAGCTTATTGAGATTATGCTTGGGATTGCATTTAATCTATAGATCAAATTGGGAAGAACTAACATTTTAACGATATTGAGTCTTTCAATCCATGAACATGGAATATCTGTCCATTAGAGCTTCCTTTGATTTCTTTCATCAGATTTTCTTTCCTGCACATGTATTCTGTACATTTCCATTAGATATACCTGATTATTTTACCTGTTATTGGGTGCTATTACAAACGGTATTTTAAAAAAAATTCCTATTGTTCATTGCTGGTATATAGAATAGCAATTGACTTTTGTACATTAACCTTCTATTCTGATACTTTGCTATACTCATTTATTAGATCCAGGAATTTTTTGGTTGATTCTTTGGACTATTTTCTTCATAATCATTTCATATAGGAATTAAGATAGTTTTATTTCTTCCTTTCCAATCTGTTTTTCTTTTACTTCCCTTTCTTGTTTTACTTCCCTTTCTTATTGTACTAACTAGTACTTATAGTATAATGTTAGATCAGAATGATGAAGGCAGACATCCTTGCTTTATTTTCGACAATACTTGTAAAGGGTCCTTTTTATCATTATTAAGTATGATGTTAGTTATAGTGAAACTGCCTTTACAAAATTCTGACATTAAGTGAATCTGACATAGTAGACTCCATCTTGCTTCTGACCTCCAAGCTGTCCTTGGCCATTCCCAAAGCTAGCTTTGGGAGGAATTTAGTTTATAGTTTGACTTTAAAACAAAGATGATAATAACTCTTCCCAAAATTAAACATGTTTGTAAAACTAATGAAAATCCACAAGGTTAGTTTCATGGGTGTCCGTGTGAAGAGACCACCAAACAGGCTTTGTGTGAACAATAAAGCTTTTAATCACCTGGGTGCAGGCCGGCTGAGTCCAAAAAGAGAGTCAGCGAAGGGAGATAGGGGTGGGGCCGTTTTATAAGATTTGGGCAGGTAAAGAAAAATTACAGCCAAAGAGGGTTTGTTCTCTGGCAGGCAGGAGTAGGGGTCGCAAGGTGCTCAGTGGGGGAGCTTTTTGAGCCAGGATGAGCCAGGAAGAGGACTTTCACAAGGTAATGTCATCACTTAAGGCAAGGACTGGCCATTTTCACTTCTTTTGTGGTGGAATGTCATCAGTTAAGGTGGGGCAGGGCATATTCACTTCTTCTGTGATTCTTCAGTTACTTCAGGCCATCTGGGCGTATACATGCAAGTCACAGGGGATGTGATGGCTTGGCTTGGGCTCAGAGGCCTGACAGTTAGGATTATGAGAAGGTCTTGAACTCTATCTACATAGTTTCTATGACCCATTACGACTCAGGAGTCATGTGGCCAGAGGTCATAAGATTTGTGACTTCCCCAAATGCTCCTATAGATAACATCACTATTATAGAACCTGATTGGGTTTATCGAGATGTTTTTCAGACTGACTCCACCCAGACTTGTGGCTCATGACTCAACTGATCCTGTGGCCCCATACAGAGGAGACTTAGTGCATGAGGACCATTTTCCACACCCCTACGATTTCATCCAAAATCAATCTGCAGCACCCATTTCCTACCCACCAAATTGTCCCTAAAACCCCTAACTTCTGAGCCTTTAGGAAGACTGATTTGAGTGATAACTCTAGTTCTCCTAGGTGGGCCAGCCTCATGTCTATTAAACCCTTTATTCCAATGCTGTAGTCTCAGTAAATTGATATTGTTTGTGCAGCAGCCAGGAAGAACCTGTTGGACAATTACCATAGGTAATTGTTGATGTTCTTTATTAGGTTTAGGAAGTTTTTTTATATTCCTAATTTGCTGAGAGTTTTATTTTTAAATTTATTGTGAATGGGTGTTGAATTTTATCAAATGCTTTTTTGCATTAATTGATATGATAACACAAGTTTTCTTCTTTAGTGTATTGATGTGGTGGATTACATTGATTAATCTTTGTTATGTTAACCAGCTCTACCTGAAATGTGTAAATTCTTTTTTATATTGTTGGATTCAATATGCTAATATTTTGTTGAGGATTTTTGCATCTATGTTTATGAGAGATATTGGAGTGTAGTTCTTATTTCCTATGTTATCTCATTTTGGTATGCGGTAACGCTGGTCTTAAAAAATAAATTGGAATGTGTTCTCTTTGTTTCTATTTTTGGAAGGGATTGTGAAACATTGCCTTCCTTCAATGTTTGGTAGAAATCATTTGTGAAATCATTTGGGCCTCATGGTTTCAATTTTTAAAATAAATATAGGCCTACTAAGATTTTCTCTTCTCCTGGTATAAGTTTTGGTATTTTGTGTCTTTCAAGGAGTTTGTTCATTTTATTTATGTTACTATTAGGAGTACCATAGTTTGGTGCTTTGGCACGCTGAGCACCTTGAATGAAAAGAAATTGGAAGACATTTGAAGCTGCCTCACAATCAATGTCTCTCTGACCTTCCCTTGTTTCTTTCCCAGTGCAGACAGGGCGTCTGTCTGAAATTCCCTTTATTTGACTAAGGAAAGTTCTTTCAAAACAAACACAATGGCAATCAATCCCCTGTGTGAAATCTCATTAACCAGGGAAGATGAATCACAAAAGATGAAACTAAAGGTTATTGTCATGTCCACCTAGGCAGATGTTTTATCTATTCTTCTGAAGGCTGTTACCTGAGAGACTTTATCTGCATAGTTTGGCAATCTTTGTTTGTAGTGCAGTTCTACCCCTCACCTTTTCGTAACTGTCACCACCTCCCACACAGTCTGGAGGAACTTTGTCCCAGGCTGTTTTCTGTGCTACAGGCCCGTTCATCTCCCCTAAAAATCATTTACTCTTCCTTTCAAATTGTCTGCATTCCACACTTTCTTCCCCACTAAGAAGAGGATTTTTAAGCTTCAACCATCTAGCTGTTTCTTGAGTTTCATCTTTTGTGTGATTCCTATGTACTTGCACATTAATAAATTTATTTGCCATTTCCTCTGTTAATTTGCCTTTTATTAGCATATCTTAGCAGACTCAGTTATCAAAACTTCAGAAAGAAAATTTAAACTTCCCCACATTACCAAATTTTCAGACATAAAATTGTATGTATTATTTCTTTATTATCATTTTAATGTCCATGGCATGAGTAGGAATGACCTGTCTTTCCTTACTGATATTTGTAATTTGTGCCTTTTTTCCCCCAAGTTACTCTGGCTAAAGGTTTATATCGACTTTATTAATCTTTTCAAAAATTAGCTTTTGTTTTTGTTAATTTTTTCTTGTTTTCTTCTTTTTCATTTAATAGATTTCTGTTCTAATTTTTATTATTTCTTTTCTTCTGCTTGCTTCAGACTTAAATTGCTCTTCTTTCTTTAGTTTTCTGAGGTGGAGGCTTAGGTTACTGTTCATAGATATTTCTTCTTTTCTAATATATGCTGCATTCAATAATATAAATTGCCCTATAAGCACTGCTTTTACTTCTTCCCACACATTTTTATAAATTGTATTTTAATTTTCATTTTGTTCCAAATATTTAAAAATTTCTCTAAGACTTCATCTTTGACACATGTGTTGTCTAGAAGTGTTTCATTTAATTTGTAATATTCAGGAACTTTCTGGCTATCTTTTTGTTATATTTCCAGTTTAATTTCACTGTGGTCTGAGAATATAGTTGGTATAATTTGTATTCTTTGAAATTTGTTAAGGTGTGTTTTATGACTTACAATATAGCCTATCTTGGTAAATGTTCCACTCTTAATTTCTTTATCAAGGCACTCATTACACGTTGTTTTAATTATTTTATTAATAGTCTATATTTTCAGCTAGATTCTAAGCTTTATGTAAAGAAGGAGTTATTCCCATTTTCTGTCCTATTCATCATTCTATCACCATTGCTTGGCACAGTTTCTGGCATATAGTGTTTGTCCAGTGAAGGTTAACAATACTTTATATCTGTACTCTCTTGCTTAGTCTTTCTTGTTCTTGGGTACATTTATTTATAAGACTAATTGAGATTTTGGTACTTTGTGGATCTCCTTTAAGGAGTTCAAAAGTATGGCCTTAGTGCTTTCTTAGCACTCTAGTCTAAAACTCAGATTGTGCCCTTAGAATAGCTTTTCAGACTATTGACACTTAAGTTTCAGATATATTGACAAGAAAGTACTACCAGAGTCAGTTGATAATAGTGGCATATGGTTAGTCAGTACTATGTCTTGCATATGGTATGTCTGTTCCCATCGAAGCTCATGTTGAATATTGGGAAGTAAGCCCTAGTGAAAGGTATTTGGGTTCAGGGGTCAAGTCTCTCATGAATGGCTTGGTGTAACTCTCACAGTAATGAATGAGTTTTTGCTTTCTTGACTGTATTAGTTTTCATGGGAATGGGTAAATTCCCAAAAGCGCATTGTTATTAAGCCAGGATACCTCTCAAATTTGCTCCTCTTCACATGTGACTGCTTCTTCTTTGATCTCTGCCATGTTGTGATGCATGTGTGTTTCAAGTTTGTTTATGGTATCTCTGATGGTGCCCTAGAAGTGGAAGAAGGAAACTGGGGGGTCACTGTTAGAAAAGTATCCTCTCTTTCTGAGGCTGTAAGAAATGTGAATGATGAAGCAAAATAATTCAATGGAGGACCTGCAGCTGAAGGAAAGGAGAAAATGCTTTCTGGAGGAGATAGATAACTACTATCATTTGAAGTTGCTGATAACTGAAAACTAATTTGGAACTGAGAATTAATGGAACTGAGTTCAATTCCTGCTGCTTCCACTTGTGTTAGCATCAGTAGCCACCACAGCCTCCCAATCCCTAGAAGAACAGAGCTTCTAAAAACATTTCCAAGTCATCAGGATTTCATATACCCTTGCTTTCATAAAGCCAATTAAGTAAGGTTATAATGATTATTATGATATGAACCTGTTTTACCATATTACTTGATATCCCATTTTTTTTCTTCTGTTGAAAACAAAGGTCAGTTCTTTCTCTTGTTTGATCTCTTGGAAAGGATTCCTTAACTTTTGTGGTCTCTGACCTATGCTGATATGCTTCATAGAAAACCATTAGGGCTTAGATTATTTTTTATGTTGTTATTAAGTAATAGCTGAGATGAAAAGTGTTGATACAAAAGTGTTTCTGGAGAAAATTTCTCTTATATGAGGAATATAGTCTAATATTATTAAATAAGGAATATAATCTATCCAAATTTTATATTTTAGGAGTAAACAATTCAGAATACATGTATTCAGAATGTCTTACATTTTCATTTATTTTGCCTCTTAAAACTAAAATTTGGAAAGAATATATCCTTATTGCATTTGGCATATAGCATGGACTCTATTACCTACAATTCAAAAGTGCTTTCTATTAAATGAAAACCCCATAGGAATAGTAATTCTGGTGTCCTGGGCAGTCATAGCACTTGATAAAAGTTTTGTATTCATGGTTCTTGACCTCACCACTTAGTTTTGTGACTCTGAGTGTGTTGCCTCAGGATTTTTTATGTTGTCAATTTCCTCATCTTAAAAAATGACATTATTATCTGCTCTGCCTTATAATCTTGGGTATGGAAAGGTATAATATATGTAAAAGCTTCTATGGGAAGTTATTATCTTTCAGAGAAAATAAAAAGGGAAACATTCTTAATGATAGTCTATACAGGCCATGATTTGAATCACAGAACTTCCTGGTCCATGATAGTGTAAGATGGCATTTTAATATAAATTCTAGGCATTTTACAGCAAAGGATCCTGAGATGATTTCCACATTTTTATATTATTCTATTGAAATTGATTTTTGAAGGAAGTTCTATAAATTTTTTTCTCTGTGGTAGTATAAATTTTTATTAGATCTCATAAAATTCTTTACTCTTTAGGCTTCAAAAACATTTTAGATAGAAAATATGGAGCATAGCATGCTGACTTGAAAAAAAGAAACGGGCATTTTTCATTTTCATTGTGTCAAGTGGGTGACCTTTTGAATCTGAACTAAAACAAATTGGCAATGACAGCTTCGAATTTTCACTGATTTCTCTTGAAAAACATTATTGCACTTTGTATCTTAGCAGAGGTACCTTTTTTAAAAAAAATAAAAATGAATTATTCATGAAAATCACTTCATCTCATAGTGCACCTGCTGAGAAGGTTTTGCCTTGCCTATTAAAGTGTATGCAAAAGTTGTGCAGTTAAACCTTCAATATCAAATCTCTTTTGCTTTGCTAATATCTTATAATGCATCATAGGAAGGGCAATGACAAACATGTATTCGTATTCGTAGAACATTAAAAAAATAATTAGTACTTGAAAAGGTCATAGAAAAGATCAGAGAAGACTTGCTGTAGCATTTAGCCAGAGATAGAAAGGGTGCGAGATACATCCTTTTCTTCTGATTGATGCTCTTCTCTATTGCATTTGTGTTCTCTTAGTATTACTTAGGATTAGTTCATAACTTCTACACCAAAGTTTTATAGCACTTGCACTGATGATAGCCTACTGCAACAATCCCAGAAGGTAGTATGCAACATTTTCTATTCATGAGATATCTGGCTCTAATGGATATCTCATTAGTTGATCAAAAGGGTAGAAGTAGAATCTCATGGTCAGGAGTTTAAAAAGTGAGCATTTAATGTTGAGGACTTCAGCACTCTTAAAAGGCTTTTTAGTTTAAAGATCAAAACACTTTAAATGCAGGTGAAGTTTACTACTAAACATATTCCCACAAAAATAAGTTTTGTTTATAATAAATTTCTGTTTTGCAGTGGGTATAACATAGACTCAAACTTTACATATTTCTTTTACCTATGGGGACTGTGTAACAAATTAACTTCTCTGATGGCAGTCTACATAACAATTGTATTTGTATGTATGGGTTTCTGTTTTATTTGCCTTATAGACTCTTTTATTCATTCTTCATTTAGTCATCTTAAATTATTTCTTCATCTATTCAGCAAATAAATTTTTGTGCTAGGTTCCAGTGATGTGGAGATGGAAGTAGGTCCCTGCTTTTTAGAAGCTCAAGATTAATGGAAAAGATAAACATGTAAATTTACAGTTATATTACAGTTGAGTAAGTGCCATGATTGATTAGTGCCCAAGGTGCGTTGGGAACTTAGAAGTGAACCATCTAACACCTTCACATGTTGGAGGAATGCCAGTAAAGACTCTCCAGAGAAAGTTTCACTTGAGGGTATCTTGAAATTTGAGAATGAGTTAGCTATGTAATAAGGAGGAATGTATTCTAAGGAGCGCTAACAAAGGAGGCAAAAGATAGCATACCACGTTCAGGAAATTGTACTTATGGGACAAGGAGGTGATGATGGAGGATATGATCAGGGGCCAGATTGTGTCGTATCTGATACTCTTCGACTTATCCTTAAGGTAATGGTCAGCCATTGGATGACTTTAAAATGGCAGATAATGATAAGAATTATAATCTTAAAAGTTCATTCTAGAACAAGTGTGGGATTAGGTTGAAGGAGAAACTGGATATAAGGATATTGAAATGTCACGAGATCATTTGGGTGTCGCTTTGCCAGCCAGAAACCTCTGTGGCCAGCAGCATCTCTGTTGGAGTTTTGCTCACACCCACTGGGCTCATTTTGCCCATTTGGCCTGGCAGGCTGTACTTGGCTTGTGCTTGGCCGAGATAACACACCTGCCAAAGAGGAACCAGGTCGGAGCAGTGAGGGGTGTGTGAGCGAGAAAGTCCAGGGTCTGGCCACTGTGCATGCCATTTGCTGCAGTGGGATAGACAGCTCCAGGTGCTCCCACAGGCGCCAGCTCTGTGGGAGGCTGCAGCTGGACCAGACGTACCAAAAACGGCTTCTGCTATGGGCACAGTGTTTGGACAAGGGGAAAGTGGTGATGCCTGAAAGCTCAGAGATGCCAGGAACTGCAGAGCCCCCAAACGGGTGTTACAGCATGTCACAGCCCTGGCTCAGGGAAACCTAGGTTTGGGCTCCCAGAAGGGCTGCAGCTCTTCTCTCCTTCTTGTTGCCTGCAGTGTGGCGACTTGGGGGATGTGTTTCGCGGGCACGTGTTTTAGCCCATTTGTTTTACAGCTCTTTCGGTCCCACTGCCCTGCTTCGGTCCATGGCTCCTGGGTTGGCCCAGCCCCGGAGCTGCTTCCTGTTGTGTGGGGGCTGCTGCTGGGCTCTGGCAGAGGGTAGGAAGACCATAGTGTTACAGCAGCTCTGGCTTCGGGAATCCTAAGGTCTGGGCCCCCAGAAGGATCACCACTCTTCACTCCCACTGTCCACCACTCACCAAGCCCACAGCTTGGTGAGCCAGCCACGAACATGTTACAGCCCCTTTAGCTCCCACCGTTCGGCAGGTCCTGAGTTCTTGTTTTCCTGCATCTAGGAAAAATGAAGTTATGTGGACAACTGGAGAGTGAGCAAGGCAGAGAGGAGCTTTATTGAGCAACAGAATAGCTCTCAGTGAAATGGCTAGCTCCTATTCACAAGCAGGTCATCCTGGGAGTGTCTGAGTCTGGCTGAGTCCTGGATTTCTATGGGCTCAGAGTGGAAGAAGTGCATGCTTATTAGTCTATGGGCAGAAGGAAGTGTGTGCTGATTGGTGCATGGGTGCCCATCGGCAGGCCTGGAAAAAACACCACTTGATTGGCCAAAAGGCATCAAGGAAGTTCTCGCTCCCGGTTGTGGGCTCCACCCTAATGGGCAGCCTGGCACCCAGGCTTCAGGTGATCCCTGGCTTGAAAGTGGGGTTTCACCAAGTACCCTCCCCTTTCCACATGGGAACCTGTCTGCATTCCCCTGCCATTAACATGCCATTCACAGCACCCACACTGTCCCTTCTGAGGGGCGCCCACAGACCCACACCAAGCCACCCTGGCCTCCCCCCCACACTTGTCGGTGTTCAAAGTCCCCAGGGGGCTGAAGTGGCATGGTGTTGGTGTGTCAGTGAGAGGTGACAGCGTGCTGGCAGCCCTCCCCTGCTCCCGACGTCTCCTCGGCCTCTGTGCCCACTCTGGCGGCGCTTGAGGAGCCCTTCAGCCCGCCGCTGCACTGTGGGAGCCCCTTTCTGGGCTGGCCGAGGCCGGACCCGGCTCCCTCAGCTTGCGGGGAGGTGTGGAGGGAGAGGTGTGGGCAGGAACTGGGGCTGCGCGCCCTTGCGGGCAAGCACGAGTTCCGGGTGGGCGTGGGCTCCGCGGCCCCGCACTCGGAGCCGCCGGCCCGGACAGTGAGGGGCTCAGCACCCGGGCCAGCAGCTGCAGAGGGTGCGCTGGGTCCTCCAGCAGTGCCGGCCAGCCCACTGGCGCTGCTTCTCGCTGGGCCTCAGCTGCCTCCCTGCGGGGCAGGGCTGGGACCTGCAGCCTGCCATGCCTGAGCCTCCCCCGCGACCCTGGGCTCCTGCACAGCGGCAGCCTCCCCGACTAGCAATGACCCCTGCTCTGCGCCACGGTCCGATCAACTGCCCAAGGGCTGAGGAGTACCAGCGCACAAGGCACGGGACTGACAGGCAGCTCCACCTGCCGCCACCTGTGGGATCCACTGGGTGAAACCACCTGGGCTCCTGAGTCTAGTGGGGACTTGGAGAACTTTTATGTCTAGCTGGAGGATTATATATGCACCAACACCCTGTGCCTAGCTCTGGGTTTGTAAATGCACCAATCAGCACTCTGTATCTAGCTTATCTGCTGGGGACTTGGAGAACATTTATGTCTAGCTAAGGGATTGTAAATACACCAATCAGCACTCTGTATCTAGCTCAAGGTTTGTGAACACACCAATCAGCACCCTGTGTCTAGCTCAAGGTTTGTAAATGTACCAATCAGTAATCTGTGTCTAGCTAATCTAGTGGGGACTTGGAGAACTTTTGCGTCTATCTCAGGGATTGTAAACGCACCAGGCACCCTGTCAAAACAGACCAATCAGCTCCTCTGTAAAATGGACCAATCAGCAGGATCTGGGTGGGGCCAGATGAGGGAATAAAATCAGGCTGCCCAAGTTAGCAATGGCAACTTGCTGGGGTCCCTTTTCACGCTGTGGAAGCTTTGTTCTTTTGCTCTTTGCACTAAATCTTACTGTTGCTCACTCTTTGGGTCCACACTGCTTTTATGAGCTGTAACACTCACCAGGAAGGTCTACAGCGTCACTCCTGAAGCCAGCGAGACCACGAACCCACCCGAAGGAAGAAACTCTGAACACATCTGAACATCAGAAGGAACAAACTCTGGACACGCCGCCTTTAAGAACTGTAAAACTCACCACGAGGGTCCCCGGCTTCATTCTTGAAGTCAGTGAGACCAAGAACCCACCAATTCCGGACACATCAGCACCACCCCAAGCGCACACACATCTGGCTGGGTAGCGACAGCACTCAGGCTTAGCCACAACTTTGCTCCACGCTGAAGTGGGTGCTGGGAACAGGGAAAGGCAAGGGAGTGGAGCAGACACTTCTGAGAGTGGGGGGTAGGGGGCTTCTCGGACCCCCAAGAGCACAGAGATGCCGAGGTCCAGAGCCACCGCTGGGTGGCTGCAGTTGCACCCGGGAGCTTGGGCTGCCACCCCACTAACTTGGTAAGGCATGGGGTTCCTGCTGGTGTCACCTGTTCCTGCCCCCACTGGCTCCACGGAGTGTGTAGCCCCAGCTGTGCCTCTCCCACTGCAGCTGGTGTCCTCACAGCAGCCTCTTGAGACAGGCTGCCACCATCATCCATAATAGTAATCAAAGTAGGGTATGGTAGCTGCCTAAATTATATCAACATTATTTAGGGTAATGAGGAAGTAGCAGCTTCAAAATTTATTTGAAAGCAGAATTAACAGAGCATGGTAGCCAGTTCTGTGAAATAAAAAAGTGCTGGCAATGTAGACAATAGTTTCATTCAAGATCACATCTACAGAAGGAGGAATAGACAATTGCTGAGCCATGCCAAATTTTGGTCAAGCAGTTGTGTGATACTATAAAGTACAACCCATCAGCAAATTACAAAACTAAAAAAACCACTATACTTTGAGTCCTGGGTTTGATTCCTAGTTCCTGAAAAAGCTGAATGCATAAAATTGTAGGCCATTTAAATGCTCTGAGCCTCAATTTACCTTCAGCTGCAAAAAAATGGGATGTTATGCTACATGATCTCTAGAAATATTTCAACATTGGAATTTTGATTGCAAAAAATTCCATATTAGCATTCTCAAATACTTCTTTGCATTTGTTAAAGGATGCAATATTACGCTAGGTAGAAGGAATAAGTTCTAGTGTTCTATATTACTGTAAGATGACTATAGGAGACAATACTATTAATATATAGCTTCAAATAGCTAGAAGGAAGATATTGAATACTCCCAATACAAATAGATGATAAATGTTTGAAATGATGGATATGCTAATTAGCCCAATCTGATTCCTATATAGTATTGTATCAAAACATCACTATGCATCCAAGAATGTGTGCAATTATTACTTGTCAATTAAAAATACAATTAAAAAACCATTTAGATACAACAGTAAAGAAGACAAACTCTTCAGCAATATTCTCTAGAGAAAGAAATTAAACCTTTTCCACTGAATATGATGAGGCACTTAAACACACACATTTGGACTTTATTTAATGTAGGATTAAATACCAACCAATATGTTTGAAGCAATTTACTACTAAGAGAATAAAGTCTGGAGAGAGTTCTAAAAACAAAAACGAGTATCTTTTCTCCTAAATAACCATGCAGAAAACGATGACACATGATAAATTTTTGGGATCAAGGGGAAGGAGCAAAGGAGTAGGTGGCACTCTGTATGGTGGCTTTTCTTTTACTGGGTTTAAAGCAAGTAACCAAACTACCAATATACTATAGAAAAGGATGATGCTTTCATCTTTAGTCCTTAAGTATGCAATGTTTTAATAATGATTACTTTTGTCAAATTTTAATTAAACAATAAATTTAGATATGTCATATAACTAGATAAATATATTACTATAACAGTAAAAAATTAATATATCTTAGTTTCGTACCTATATTAAATTCTTAGAGAAATCAGCTTACACTGTTAGCATAAGAAGCATAAAATCCTACTATTTAAATATGAGGATGTTTTATTGTTCTTTAATAAAACTTGAAAGTTTTTGGAATGTGGGGATTCCCTTTGGAAATTTTGGTATGTTACATATATTACTGAAATTGAGCTGAATTTGGGGAGTGTAAAGTTTGATTCTTTTTTTTTTTCAGTGCAGAGTTGCTAAGATTTTATCACCCCTCATTTAAAGCCCTTTATTAACTCTTCATTTAATGAGATTCTAATCCTGTACTACGGCATATGTAAGAGCCCTCACATTTACTACTCCTTCCTATCTCAGTAGCTTTATTTGCCTTTCCACTGTCTCTATATTAGTCACATTTAGCTCTTTCTATTCCTCCATTATGAATGACTAGGTATTTTAATTGTCAGTAACTTTCTCAGTTAAGAGAGAGAATCAAGTCAATTTTATTAAAGTTATATATTTTAAAAACAGGTAAGATTACTGATCTATTACATAATTGTATCCACAATGGCAGGTTTTTCTTTTGTTTCTGAGCTTCACAATAAATGGATCATAAACATATATTATCAAATTACTTTTTTGATTGATTTTCTCTTCCAGTTCATTGTAACTGGAAGTTGTAATTTAATATCAAGATTTGAATATACAGTAAACATTCAAATGAAGCATATCAATAAAACAATTGTGTTGCTGTAGAAATTAATAATGGCCTATGTCTTGACTTCTTTTTATTCCTATTGGTACCCTGCTTGCCCATGTCCTTACTGACTCTCACCTCAACCACCACAATAGCTTCCCCACTGACTTCACCACCTCTTCCGTTCAAAATCTGTCATTACCAACTGCCAGAGTGATCTGGGAGCACAGACAAGACCCAGCAGGTAGTACCCCTGTGCAAAGTAATCCTTCTCCTCGTGCTTATAAAATCAAGTCCATACTCCTTAGGTTGGTATATTAAGAAAACCAGGTCGGGACTAGTATTCAAACCAACTCACCTTGATAGACTTTTCTCTGTTATAGATTGTAAAATCAGTCAAATGAGAATCCCTGAATTACTTAAGTATTTGCGGCACTTTACTGATGGCATTCTTTTTATTTTAGCTTGGTATTTTCTTTCCATCCACTCTGTCACAACTCAAATCCCAGCTCAGTGCCACAGTGCTTGAAAAATATTTTTTGGATGACTAACTGGTTCCTTTATTAAGCTTCTCTTACTCCTTTAGTAAAATGTAACCTCCTTCTTGTCAGTATTTGCAAGTTGCTTGAATATCATGATAGCCAAGTCGTTCTATCTTATGACACAGTTAATTATACACATATAACCCCTCTTCTAGGCTTTGAGCTCCCTGGAGCTGACCTCTGTCTTGATGGCTTTAGGCTTCATGGTGGTATTAAAAGATGATATGTACACACAGCTCCTGGGGTGCAGGCGGCGCTTTTAGAGCTACCTTTCATAAGATAAGATTTTAAGTTCAGGAAACTGTAGTTTGTTTCCGCATGGTCATTGTTGGATCATTCAATGCATATTACCTGAACCTATTAGAGAAGGTTTTATAAGTTGCAGGGCTAACTTATCTGTTACGGGGATATCCTTATGTCCTATGTTTAGGGCATTACCTTCAAGATGTGGAGGAAATTGGAAAACAAAATTTAACCTGAAGGATGCTCTATGAAATAGGAGCAAAGAGTTTGCAGTGGTTTTGGGAGATATTTCACTCAGTCTAGGGAAAAGCTTGAAGAAGTGATTTATCATCATATCAAATATCTGGCATTTGAACAGTTTTTCTGCTGGAAGCAAAGTCTATATCTTTTGGAAATACAGAACATGCAACTCTTCCCTTTTGCCTGTGTCTCACCCTACATTTGGAGCTCATCTGTTTTAACAAGACAATAATTATCTCAGACATATTATAGTAAAATTGTTAGCTGCTTAATTCTCCCTTTTAATTTGCCAATTGACTTAAATTGGAGTTGAAAGGCATATTTAAATTTGTTATCATGACTGAATCCTGGAGACACTGTGGGCTTTTCACTGGAAATCTGGGGTTATTGTGGGCTTATCTGTAAACATGTTTACATGGAATCTTTAAAGGTTGCTACTTCTGGAGATGACTATGTTCATCTATTTCATATTAGGTCTCTTTTTTTTTTTTTTAATTTCTGAGGGTAACCCTTAACTCTTGGGTATACCCTATGGGAGGCTTTTAGACCACTCTTATCTTTTCACACCCCCATGGCCCATGGCCCATGAGTTTTGCATTATGCACCATAGATACCTGAGAGTCTGATAAATAAAATGTACTATTTAGTTTATATTATGAAACAATGAAATAATCACATATATAAATAATAAATATAAAAACAAAATATGCACTGGTATTTAAGTCAATGTAATGTGATTTTTTTTTTTAAAGGCAAAAGACTTCTAGGGTAGACCCAGGGATAGCTTTTAACACATTCCTTTCTGCCAATACATGCTGCTGAGTCCTTTCGTAATTTAGTACAAAACACACGACTGTTGGAAAAGTTTCCTTAATCTTTCCTTACTGAATCAACACAAATTTGTTTACTCTTATTTATAACACCCTCATTGTATGTGTACTTGATTCATATTATTTTGAGCTTTCTAAGACTCAAAGGATTTGTGAAGTTGTGGTGGAAGACAGACATCTTCTCTTCGAACTTTGAAAGAACAGGAGTACTGATTGCCTAAACTTGTTAGAAAATAATACATATTTATTTTATTTTTACTTATACTTTGTTTTTACTTATGGTTTGATCAGGAATATCAGCAGTAATTCATACATTGAGAAAATGGTTTAAGTGTTAAATAACACATTCACATTGTAAGGCACAGACTAATGAAATAAAAAAACTTAAACAAGCAAACAAAACTTACCTTCCCATCTGCTAGAGCATCAAGTAATATTCACATAAAATGAAACAAAAACCTCCTGTCTTGCTTGACACATGTCACAAATATATTCTGATGCATATGTAATGGACAGCATTTCTGAGGCTTAGGTTCAAGATAGAGAATACTCTTATTCTCCCCTTAATGAGAAACCACAGAATGCAGTTCTGAAGCCCTCAGAATTGTCATGACAGGGCGTAGAACAACAGATGGTCCCTCAGGCAAACTAATCCTATGTTATTTAATACCAAAAGCAAAACTGTCAACTGTTTCAGGGAAAACATAGAGCCCGGAACCAAAGAATTGATGAGTAAACATGAAAGAAATTGATTTTGAAATATTTGGTTTGAAATGTATTTTAATTTTTCAGTCTAAACACATATTGTTGCTGATTTGGAATCCTAAACCACTGTTTGGATTTTAAAAATAAGTGCTTTGGAAATTGCTATGAAGAAAACTCTTTCAAGAAGGCTTTCACTGACAACTTTAAAATGATTCCAGAAAAAATTAATTATAATAAATTAGTTTGAAGTTATTGTTTGAGTGTTGGTGTGTGTGAGCAGCAGGTTAAAAGAAGCAACTCCTTCAGAAATTTAATAAATACATTTGAAACCTATGGCATTTTCTTAGAATTTTACATATAGTAGGTTCATCTTAGACCCTCTTTAAGAAAGTTTTCTTATTTAGGAGGAGAATCTCATTAGATTCATAATGTTATGGTGAAATTCCACTCTGAAATACCTTTGTTCTTTACAAACAGAAGTTCTGCTTTTTATTAAGATTTATTTTAAAAAATTATAAGAAGTACTCACAAGCTTTAAAATAAAGGTAATTCATGTTCCTTGTAGAAAATACAAGTAGTATAAATATTTGTAATGTAAGAAATAAACTTCTTCCAATACTACTCCCTAGAAATCACCACTATTACCAATTAGGTGAGTAACTATTCTTCCTTTTTTATATTTATATGTGATATATGTGTTTACATACTCATAATTTTTTTACTAAAATATAATATTTTTGGAAATATTATTTTGAAATTTGGCATATCAAAAAATTTAAATTAGTTAAACTAAAAGCTAGATTTTAATCTAGGATCAAAAACAAATTAAACTGTTTTATTTTCTAAGGGGTTAAAAGAGGACAAAGAAAAAGCTATTTTGGTGGTATTTCATATTACAATAAGAAAATCTTTTATAGAGGTGGGTGAAATGAAAGAGAAGAAATATTATAGTAAATATTTTTAAATAAATTTACTCAACTAAAATTAAATGCCTGTTATCTGTGAAGTGCTGTGCTAGTTTTTGTGTCTTCACACACAAAAAGATAGGAACTGGGTCTTAAGTAACTAATTAGCAAGACAGATGAAAAAAGTAAAAACAATTACAGAATAGTATTAAGTAGGGAGACATGGAAACACAGAAAGCATGCAACCCTCTTGGATAAGTAAGAAAGGGCTCCTAGGGTTTAAGTTCCTTCAGCTTTGGGTATTTTTTTAAAGTGATTAAAGTGGTAATTGGTAAGGACTTTGCATTACAGAAATTAGATGCATTCATAAATGTCTAAAATAATCTCAGGGAAGTGAGAGAGGTATCTGACCCAGGGACATTTAAAAGTTTGTTATTCCTGGTTGATGACCCACATGACTCTGGAGACCCTGTCTTAGTAATGAAACAAATCAACAGGGTTGTGTAGTTTGTCCTGCAGAATCCAGGAGACCTACTGGCTAAAGGAACAGGAGCACAAAGCTCTGAATTTATTCAGGGTTAAGGTGGAATGAAAGCTAACAATGAGAAATGATGGATCATGAACTACAGGCTGCTCAGTGAAGAAAATGAGAAAAAGCAGATTGATAGTGTGAAAAAAAAGATTAAGGGACTGGACGATTTTAATGATGTGGAATGACACTTATAATGAAAGTAAGGTAGTGAAATAATGGAATGTTTGGGGCAGAAAAAGATAATTAAATATGATTCCAGAGGTGGAACTGTTCTGGGTTGTGACAATATGGGTGTGGATGGCTGAAATGGAATAAGGTCAAAGTTCTATAAATTGGCACGAGTTTTAGTTTCTAATATGACAACATTCTATAAAGTTAAAAGGGGATTTATTTCTAATACTTTGTGTCATACATTAAGTCTTTTCAGATTAGATTGGGTACTTCCTTTAAAGGAAAGGAGGACAAATTCACCAGCTGGCAATTCCTTAAACACAGGTGCTATTTACAATTGTATCTTGTATTATCAGTGCTCAGCCTAAAGGCTGCCAATAGAAGAAACCTAGTAAACATTTATTGACTAAATGAACAAGTTAATAAATTAATAAACAATAAATTACAAAATCAAAGCTGGGACTAAAACCAATTAATGTTCATTCATGACCTTTTAAGAATTCTCCTTCTTAAAAGATTGAATTATACTGTGAAATGTTTCTTTTGGATTTGTTATCACAGTTGGGAATATAGTGAATTCAGAAGTCATTTGGAATTGTAAAGTACCATTTTTCATTTAAGCTGAGATTTTGTAAAATAATGGACTCACTGAAGCTGATAATCATTTTGTGTTAATCTGATATAAAAGTGAAATTACCTGTAATCCTATGTGTATGTGATTGAGTTATATAAAGCAGTCTTCTAGAATACACAGATGTGCCGTATAAGTTTCGCATCCCACTCCAAAGCAATAAACACTCTCATAAATGTTTGACATCACTGTCTTGAATCCAAACAGAAGGTTTTAGGAGTGTAGAGTAATTAAAATGGTATTTATAAAAGTTTGCAAATGTTGCACCGAATTGCTTATTTTACTTGAGACAGAATTTACAAATGTAGAATACAAATGAGATAGAAGGAATTTTATGGATGTTTTAGAATGTGCCACAGCTTATACGGCTGTAAAAAATGGGAATGTCTTTAAAATACAATTTAGTGACACATTTATCATTAACTCTTTTTTTTCCTTCCTCTCTCCTTCCCTCCTCCTTCATCCCTTCCTCCTTCCCTCCCTCCCTCCCTGTCTTCCTCCCTTCCTTCCTTCCTTGTTTCTCTCTCTCTCTTTCTTCTTATTCTTATCAAGATAAATTATTAAACATGTCAGAACTCTGATTGATAAATCCCATGCTTGGAATACATCATAAATAATTATGTTTTTTCTTTTATTGAAAGATAACACAAATTGACCTTTTCTAGGTATTTCTAAACACCTAGAACTTTTGCTTTAATATTCCGTGTCGGTGATCTCTCCTTGGTCAGCAGGTCAGGTTTGGTTTGGTTTGTTTCTTTTTTTTAAGAGGGAAAAATAACTAAGATTTTTTATTAAATTTGTTGAGGAAAAAATGACTCAATATGAATTTTATACACACACACACACACACACACACACACACACGCCCTTATGAGTAAATGTTGAACTAAGAGAATTGCTGATTACATCTTTTCTTTAAAAAATTAAAAAAACTTTTTTTTTTTTGTTTTTTCGTTTTTGAGACAGTCTCACTCTGTTGTCCAGGCTGGAGTGCAGTGGCACCATCTCGGCTCACTGCAACCTCTGCCTCCTGGGTTCAAGTGATTCTCCTGCCTCAGCCTCCAGAATAGCTGGGATTACAGGTGCCCGCCACCACGCCCGGCTAATTTTTTTGTATTTTCAGTAGAGCCGGGGTTTCACCATGTTGGTCAGGCTGAAAAAGACTTATTTAAGTTAACCTTTTGCACAGGAATCATCAGTAACCAAAATATTCACTTCTTTACATTATTTTAAATCAAAATGGAATCAACACTATTTTCTACTGAGCTTTTTAGCAAAATAGTTAATTTTTTTTATATCATTGGATGATTTCCCACTTAACACATATTAGGGTCTTGATAATATGTATAGAACAATTTGTTTGTTGGGACAAATCGTATCCAAATACTTTGAAGAATTTATTCCGTATTTTGGGAGATTGAACAGCTTGGCTGGCCCAGTGATTACTTATGAGGGTATGATATGGGGGTACTAGCTGTGCTTGTATTGTAGATCTTAAAACCCTTGTTTTAATGTTTTATACTACACATGCTTCCAAAAAGGTTGAAAGCAAATTATAAAATTTGGAGAAATACAAAATATCACTTAAATATATAGTGACTAGGATTTTTATGACAAGTAAAAAAAATCTATTTCAAATTTTTGAACAGTTTTCACAGATAGACTCCACATATATTAATAGCTATTTATTTATGTTTAATGTTTTCTTTCACAACATTAAGCACAAATTGAGGTACTACTTTTAGAGTTAAAGATCCATTAATATTTCTAATCTTAATAATAATATATATTATGCATTTATAACATGTTTCTAGTATTTTATAATAAAATTTAGTGCATTTCCCTACTAGTTTGGCACTATGATTTTTTAATCTTTGATTTTTTAAAACAATAAGCAAAGCATTTTTTTTACAAATTCTTATTATAGCTTATAATTTCAAGTAACTAAAGATTTAAAAAATATGGATTAAATATGAAGTTTTTAAAAAATTAGGCACAGAAATGACAAAACATGTCCAGTTTAATTAACATTTTGACTCTAAAATTAAATAGCCAGATTTTTATTAAGCATTTGAATGTTTTTAGAGTACCTGGGTTCAAATGCTTTTCTTAAGTCTTCTTAACTCTATGGTCTAAATTCTTTGACTTAAATTCTATGAATTAAATTCTCTGAACATCACTTTCTTCCATAAAATGATGGTAATAATAGCTACTTCTAAGTGCTATGAGGATTAAATAAAGTGGAACTTTCACAGTGGTTGATGAATCCTTGCTCTTTCATCAGAGTTAATGCAGCTAGAGATTAAGGAACAAATTGGTAGTTAATGGAGGAATCATAAATTGTTGGTCCCTGCTTTTTGCTTACCATGCCATAGAAGCAATAGGATTCTAGATTTGGGCTTCTGAGCACCCGATAAGGGCCTCAATACAGTGCTCCCCATAACTTTCAACTATTTGCATTTCTGTGCTTAAGAGTTTTTCTTTAAAAGGGGAAGGCCACTCTCTGTATAAAGCTAGGGAGAAGTACAGGGGATTGAATACCCTCTGGGAGCAGCCTTTGGCCATTGATGATGGAGTTAGCATACCTCAGCCACCTTGTCCTTTGGGAGGGTGTGTGTCCTAAGCTCTAGTTGTTCTCAGTATTATTTGGCTTGATGATGTAAACCTTACTGGCTGGCTTCCTTTCCTTGTCTCACTTCCCTGCTGTATAGCAGTGATTCCTGCACTTCTTAAATGAATTATTTGCACACAAATCCTTGCCTCTGGGTGTGCTTCTGGGGAATTCCAAACTAAGAGAAAGTTCATATAAATTCAACAGTCACTTCTGTCATTCAGCTAAGATTAATATGAATTATACTATTGATACATGCTGTAAGAAAGTTAGGGATAATAGCTTTTATACATGCTGTAAGAAAGTCAGGCATAAAATTCAATCAGGACACAGATGAGGGAAGAATTAATTATTAAGTTTGTCTAGGGCTCAAATCAGCCTGTTGGGAGGTGGGGATATTTGAGCTGGCTTTGGAGGATGAGAAAGAGTTCGCATGCATCAGAAGTGGAAAAAGGTATTCAATTCAGTTGAAATTGCATGAGCAAAGAATAGGAAGTGAAAAGGCATAAAATATTCTGAGAATGATGAGTAGCCTAGTGTGGCCAAAGAAAAAGGCAGGATGGTTTCAGGGAGAAATGGCTGCTTATTGGCTGGGGCCACATTGAAAAAGGCTGTCTATGCTGAACTCATGCTAGTTTCATTCTTTGGCAGTGGGCAGGCATGAAAGCTTTTTAAAGATAATAGTGACTTGATTACAAATGTCCTTTTAAAAGAGCAGGGAATGAATTTAGCTAGGACATGACATGTGCCAGAAAACCATTTAAAAGTCTATTGCTATAGTCTAGAAACATAATGAAAGCTTTAGCTAGTATAATGGCAATTTGAATGGAAAAGAGTTTACTGATGCTTCGGCTAAAAAATTGAGAAGATTGGAGACAAATAGTGGGGGAAGAGTCTAGGACTCTAAAATTCTAAGACCCTAGCATTTCTAGGTTAAACAAATATTTGAATTGTAATGCTTTTATTACCATGTTAGGAAATTCAGGAGAAAGTGAATATGTAATTACAAACTGATAATGAATGTAATTTTGGACATAACATTTACACGTAGAGTGAATTTAAGGTGGTAGAGCAGGCAGGAAAATTCAATATCAACAACGGATTGGAATAAAGAAGGCCCCTGTACTGGGACCTGTGCTTATGAGGGCTGCCTTTGGGTTGTCCTCCAGCTGTGTGTCCTCCAAGGGGCAAGAGGTTGTGTCCATCTAGGGCCTACACTCTGGCCCTTGTGTATTTAGGACCCCATAATTCTCTGCTGAGATGACTCCAAGCACATTTTCAGGGTCTGTATAGGCCTTTATCTAAGATCTTTCCTCCCAAGGGTGGACCATGTTAACCTGTTACACATACCTGTGCCCTAAGAGGAGCCAATGGATAGCCATCTGCTGTAGGAATTAAAGGGCTGAACTTGGACATGCAGGCTGAAGCGCCCATGCAGGACACTTTGGTGTATGTTGGAGTTGATGTTGGGAGGAGAAAGAGGGTAGGCCATAGGATGAAGGTTAGGAACAAGCTCTTCCTGTAGTATCAAGTTCCTCTAGTTCCTGTAGTATCTACAGAACTTTAAGAAATCCAAAAACTCTAAATTCAAACTTGGACTGTCTAATTATTATGAATCATCTATTTCAAATTAGAAAGACAGCATATATTTTATTTAGTAGTTTGTTAGCTTGATTTAATTACATTTAAATATTTAGACAAATGGTAAATGGATTTCTTTGTACTCTTAGTTCAGATCCCACAAATATTAGGAACAGACCTAGTGAAATAAACAGATTTGTGTGATGATGTATAAACCTAGGTGAGATAGCAGTTGAGATGGAAAGGAAGAGAAACTGAAAGATATTTCTTAAAGTACACTTGGAGTTAAAGATGAAATTGAGCTTCAAAAGTATCTTTTGTTCATGGCCAGCAACAAAAAACAATTATAGAGTTTAAAAACAATATATTAAATTTGGTTGACATTTCTGTCTTTAAGTCACATATTGGATGTTTTCTATTTCAGTTTTCTTTGAATTAATCAATATGAAACTGTTTTGAGCATTATGGTTAATGTGATAAAGACACTCTATTACTCACTTTGGGCTTATTTCTCTGGATAACATTTAAAAGCCTCTATTATAGAACTGATGAAAAAAATGTTTTATTGAGCTAGATTTATAAATTTTATCTAACAATATAGTTTAAAAATATTACCTTTTTATCATTAGAGCATAATATAGAAAAACTGGAAAATGAGACATTTTCATGTCTGGCTAAGTGAAGATACTACTTTCCTCCTCAGAAAAAGTTATGTATGTCACCTCTGGTGCACATTTAACTTATAGAAGAAAAAGCCCAGCAACGTTATAAAAGTGTCTTTACAAAGAATGAAATTTCTTTCTTCAAAGACTGAAAGTCTTTTATCAGCATTAGGATCTAAATTGCTCAGAATTTTTTGTGTACGTTTTATGGAATTCATTTTCATCATATTGTATATCTAGTTTTTATAGATTTACACATTTATACATGTGAGTTAATTTTCTTGGATTTGACTTCATAAAAAGTAACACTGGAACCTCAGAATAATCTCTCATTCTGAGTAAATTAAAGCAGGCTGCTCTGCTGACTTTGTGTCCAGCTGGCTAACGGCTTAAACAGGAAAGGGACTCAAGGAGATTCAGTGGTAGGTATAAGATAAACATGCTCTTGTTTATGTTTTGCTGATACTCTGTTTGTTTAGAAGTTGGGAAATTTTTTTCCTTGCTTTGGGCTGTTCTTTTAAAAAACCAAACAATCACCCAGTATGCCTTGTGGCTTTGATCTTTGTTTTCATATTTTGTTATACAAGGCTCAAAGTCTTACAGCTTGTTGTGTTTCATACTTTGTCAGATCATCCTTTCTCTGCACATATTACTTACAGATGGCTGAAAGTAAAAAAAAAAAAGGAAAGGTAGAGTGTCTTAAAAATTGACATCTCCCACAAATCCCAGGAGACTGTTGTATAAATATTGGCATACTTTTGCAGGTGCTAAAAGGGAATTCTGTGGCCTTTCACCTGGCATAATTAACTTCCTTGGCTTTCCCACTGTTTATCGTGTCTTTTCCTAACCTTTGTTTCTCACAAGAGTGCACTTGGGACCAAATTGAGTAAGATGTACAGACACCTGCATGCTTCAAGGCAAACACCAAACTTCATTCAAGCCCCAGGACAAAGATCCTACAAGACTTCACTGCAGATTCCCCAAACGCCCTTCATGCTGGGGTGATAAATCATATGAGGATATGTAATCAGTCTCCTGAGGAATACTGCAGTGATTTGCTAATTTTGACACTCACAGAAACATTAGTACCTTGGGTGACTTAAAAGCGCAAGAATATATTTTTAAATTTGGTTATGAAACACGATGTATATATGTTTCTTTTTAAATTTTAATTTAATTTTATTTCATTTTTAGAAACAGCATGTTGCTGTGTTGCTCTGGCTGGAGTGCAGTGGTATGATCATAGCTCAGTGCAGACTTAAACTCCTGGGCTCAAGTGATCCTCCTGCCTCAGCCTCCTAAAGCATTGAGATTATAGGTGTGAGCCACTGCACCCAGCCTTTGTATGTGTTCCTGTGTGTCTTCCTGGCTCATATTTTAGTAGTCTATGGGAGGTAGTAGCTCCTCAATGGAAAGTGGGCTGAACTGAATTATTAATATTACAAATTTTTTGAAGTTTTATATTGGGAAGACAAATAATATTTACATTTAAAGTATGCAGATCCAACAATACTGGTTATTTCTTGAGCACATGCATGCTCAGTACGACAGCACAATATATCTAGATTTCACATATTTAATTTTCAGTTTAATTTTGATTCAATATCTTCTCACTGTAAAATATTATAAATTGTCTTCCAGTGTATATTCTTGGGGCCAATGACAAGAATAGTTTGTGAACCCACACTTCGAATTAAAGGTGTATTCAAAAATACTTTTCTATTCTGAATGAGATCATGTAAATGTATGAATTTCTGACTAACAATTTCCTTCTATATCCTCTATTGAGATAACTTAATGGGAAGTCTGCTGGCAAAGGAGTCTGGGAATGTTGATTGCAATGTCATACCCAAAGTATCTTAGAGTAGAGTAAGAGAGGGCAAGACTCTTTTATCTTCTCTTCAAAAAGGGGAGCTACAGATTCCTAATGGTCACATTTTCCATTTCTGGATAACAGTTATGCAGTCTATCTCAAAAGAGAAGGAATCATGAATAGAAGAAGATATGTCTTTGCTCTAAATATCTCGGTGTCTGTACTACAATTCTTTTGTTCAAGCTTGCCAGAGTCTCTATACAGCATCTTTATTTACCACAAGTACCATTAAATCTGTGGGTTCATATGGCCCAAGTGGCAGAGCAGCTTACAGAGGCAGCCCAGCCCTACTGCAGAGCCTTCCTTTTCCCTAAGCCCCACTGAAATAGAGCCATCTTATGTGTTACTTAATATATGGATTGGAGTAGCACATTCCAATATATTATGTGTTATTTCTAATATCAAATGAAAACTTTAGATCCCAATGACTCTTTTGTAGCAACAATTAGTGCAAGGTGCAACAATTGGTCTGTTACTTTTGAAATATTTTTCGCACATGCCCTAGACCACTGGGCCCTCAGAAACTTCATAGTAACAAGATGGAATTTTCATGGGTTTCTTTGCTATCTTATGGCAGTCACGTGTCTTACAACAATACGAGTCACTTTTTGTTTGTCTGGTTCAACCAGCATGATGTCATCAATGAAATGGACCAGATATTCTGTGGGATGCCAAGATGATTATGATCTCTGCAGACTAAATTGGGTTAGAGAGCAGAAGAGTTGACATAACTCACTGAGGTGACAGTGCAGGTGTAGTTTTGTCAATTCTGGGTGAGAATGAACTCTGTCTAATTATGCTTTCAAATTAGTATAGAGAAAAAAGCATTCGTCCAATCAATAGCTCTGTATAAGGTGCCAGGTGTTGCCTTGGTTTGCTCCAGTAAGATACTCCAGGAGGAGAAACAGCAGCAATTGTAGTCATTACCTGGTTAAGTTTTACTCTCCAAGGTCATCTACCATCTGCATAGGCCAAATAGGTAAGTTAAATGAGGATGTAGTAAAACCCACTAAATTGCATTTTCAAGGCTTTGGTTATGGCATTCATGTGTTTAGCTTCTTTGGAGATAGAGCATTGTGTTTGGTTTTCTACCCAAATGGGGAGAGGATGTTCCAGGAGCTTCCACTAGGCTCTTTCTACCATACCATATCTCATTCTAGTATCTGCGAATGTAGTGATTTAAGCCCATTGATGAGCATATTTATTTCAATTATATATCCAGAAACTGAGGAAATAACTAATGAATCTATCTGCGGAGACATATAAGCAAAGCTCCATCTATTACAATTATCATAAGTTCCTGCGTTGGTGAATACAATGGCATTTGGGGTGTTTCAGGTTATCCCTCAGAAACAGAATAGAGCTCCCACTCAAAATTTGTTGTTTTATATTGAGACTGATGGCACCGCACACACATCAAGAGGGTGTGGAAAGGTTTATTACTCACATAATGAAGCTTTCTGGGGAAAACAATGTAGCCCTCCCAACCTGGGCTGAAAATGGCTTGAGAGAACAAGAAAAAGAGACTGGCTCCCTCCCCCAACACAGTTAGCATTTATTTATGGGGAGAAAACTTAAAATCTACTCTCTTAGCAATTTTCTAGTATATAACATATCTTTATTAACTATAGCCACCATGTTGTACAATGGATCTCTTGAACTTGTTCCTCCTATCTAACTGAAATTTACATCTTTTGATCAACATCTCCCTATCCCCCAACACCAGCAGCCCCTGGCAACTGCCATTCTACTCTCTGCTTCTATGAGTTAAACATTTTTAGGTTCCACATGTAAGTGAGATTGTGTAGTATTTTTCTTTCTGTACTTGGCTTATTTCACTTAGCATAATGTCCTCCATGTTGTCACAAATGGCAGAATTTCCTTATTAAAGCTGAATAGTATTCCATTGTGTGTGATATATATATATATATTTCACATTTCTTTTTTTGTTTTAATTTATTTTTTTTATTATGCTTTAAGTTTTAGGGTACATGTGCACAATGTGCAGGTTTGTTACATAGGTATATATGTGCCATGTTGGTTTGCCGCACCCATCAACTCATCATTTACATTAGGTATTTCTCCTAATGCTATCCCTCCCCCAGCCCCCCACCCCCCGACAGGCCCTGGTGTGTGATGTTCCTGCCCTGTGTCCATGTGTTCTCGTTATTCACCTCCCACCTATGAGTGAGAACATGCGGTGTTTGGTTTTATGTCCTTGTGATAGTTTGCTTAGAATGATGGTTTCCAGCTTCATCCATGTCCCTGCAGAGGACGTGGACATTTGGGTTGGTTGATTGATGGACATTTGGGTTGGTTCCAAATCTTTGCTATTGTGAATAGTGCCGCAATAAACATACGTGTGCATGTGTCTTTATAGTAGCATGATTTATAATCCTTTGGGTATATACCCAGTAATGGGATTGCTGGGTCAAATGGTATTTTTAGATCTAGATCCTTGAGGAGTCGCCACACTGTCTTCCACAATGGCTGATATATCTCACATTTTCTTTACCCATTCTCTTTATGGACACTTAGATTGCTTCCATATCTTGGCTATTATTAATATTGCTGCTATGAACATGGGAGTGCAGATCTATCTTCAACATACTAATTTCATTTCCTACAGCTATATTCCTAGCAGTGGGATTGCTGAATCATAGGGTAGTTCTATTTTTATTTTTTTGAGGAACCTCCATACTCTTTTCCATAATGGCTGTGCTAGCTTGGAGTTTTTGTGGTGGTCAGAGGGTGGGGTCAGAGTGAGGGCTCCTGTTTGTAGTTTGAACTTTCTGCTGGTACCAAAGAAGGGAATGAACGCCTTGTATCAGTTTGCATAGATGCAAGGAAGAAGAGGAAAATAGAGAGATGAGGCTTATGAGCTGTCAGCAAACATTAACGAGTGAAGTCAGATTATTACATTGGGTCTTTGGGAATTAGAATCAATCAACTTTGAAAGGTCTGAGTATTACTTATCCCCTAGTGCACACTTCTTTTGGAAGAAGGTTTGAAAAAAATTCAGCACATTTTTTTTGACTATGTTGCAAGGTCCATTCTCAAGAGGACCATGTCTTCTCTTTGGCCAAGGAACTCTGGATCTGGCTTAGGTCTGAGAACTGGATAAGTCAGTTTTCTCACCTTTATTTAGCTTTCTACCCATCCATTCTTAAGCTATTTTGTGTTATGTACACTGAAATATTATATAAATAATATTTTAGCAGGGAACCTATTTTATTTCTAAGGACATCATGGCCAGTTAGCCATAGCAAAGATCTTTGCAGACTAGGTCGCTCTAATTACTACTTTTTCCTGCTGTTCATTGTAGTGATTTTACTCACTTTTTTTCTGGTGGGTCAGTGCTGCTAAGTAGCCCTTTCACCCTGGGGTCTCATCATCACAGCTTTTGTCAGGAGCCAGTCTCAACAGTGATGTCTCCCACTATCATCCCCAGCCTGCGGAGGGCAACCTCCACCACAGAACTTTTTAAGGATGCTGCTGCTCACTTTTCTGATGTATTTCTTGACATCACAGTGAAGGAAAGCCTTCTAAGGTATAAGGAACGGGGATGGATGTGTAGTCTGAATGTGATAAATCCATTTCTTAAGTTTTTGGATTCTTCCAATGATGCTAGAGAGTTCTAGCTTCTTGACTTAATTAACCGTAGGTCATGATAATTTTTTAGTTAACTAACCAAAAAAATGATTATAGCCACTTCTCAGCTGCTTGAACTAAAAAATGAAGTTCAGAATTTCCAGAAAGTGTACTCATATCAATAAATTCAATGTAATCCGTTAAAAATCAACATATGAAATTACAATTTAAAAACAGTACAATCCATACACTTTAAGTATATGGATCAAGGACTTTTGAAATTTATACAATAATTTTTCTTGTGTTCACTTATAGTTAATCTCCCTAACTCCCTACCTCCAGGCAACTACTGATCTAACTTTCATCATGATAGGTTAGTTTTGCCTGTTCTAGAATTTCATTTAAATGAAATCATATAGTATGATTATTATTATTTGCTAAGTAAAAGGTTTCTTTTACTTAGCATAATGTTGTCTTTTTCAATAGTTCATTCCTTTTTATTATTGAGTAGTGTTCCATTGCACGGATATACCACAGCTTGTATATCCATTCACTAGTTGATAGACATTTGGGTTTTTCCCAGCTTTTGTATATTCTGAATAATGCTGCTGTGAACATTCGTTTTCAGTTTTCATGGACATATGTTTTCATTTCTCTGGACCAAATACTAGAATAGAATTGTTGGGTTATATGGTCAGTACATATCTGAATGTTTAAGAAACTCAAACTTAATCTAATATTATCTTCTATTCTCCTTGGTCTAAGACATTTAGAATTCATTTTCAAATATATTCCTCTGGTTTCTGCAAAAATATATTAGCAAAATCTTGCAATTTTGGGGAAATATATGTGATCTCCTGGGTCACACCTTCCCTGAAGTTTGCTGGGATCTGTCTGTAACTATAGGTGTAGAAGTACTAAGAGGTGTTGGGGTGAAGAATTGATAACTTCCTAAGGTGAGTTGAATGAATATTACCTTAGGCCAAGGAGAACAGCAAAAATGGAGTGAAAACTAAGGGCAGAAAGCATAGACTACAGAATGCTACTATAGATGGGTACACCCCACCACCTCTACTCTCAAAGATGACCTGGTCTCCTACTTCTATGAGGAATGATCTCATATAAAAAAATCTACTCCTCGGTTTTCATCTTAATTTCTTTGTGGAATCTAAGCACCCTTGATGCCTTTTCTCCTAAACTTTTCTCCATTTTTGCCTTTCATGGATTAATCTGTTCTGCCCCTTTGACTAGCTTTTCTTGTCATTTTACCCTTAGATACTGAATTTATCCCAGAGTTTCACACTGGAACTTCTTTACTTTGTATGCATCTACACCCAGACTTAATAAGCATTTAAACATGAAATGGTTTGTAAAAATATAATTCTTCCTGTTTCAGCTTTTTACTGAGGCTCCAGATTTCAAGAGCAAAATAAAAGCTGCCAAATAGAAGTGCTAGACAACCTATTCTGGGTATGCTAAAAAATTATGAAGTTTTTTTTTTTCTCTCCCGCTTTTAGTGATTACCTTTTCCCAGCCTTCAAGAGAATGGAGTTTGAGGTGTTGGAGCAGAATTTCCTTGGAGACAGTAGAGGGAGTGCTCCCAAATTTCCCACCCCATTGTGGTGCTAGAGGTTCAAACTTTCTCCTTTTTTTTTGCCTCAGACCAAATGGGGTGGTTTGCCGTGTGACCAATATAATGGAATGTTAAGAATACAGAGTTTTCTTAAAATGATGTAGTATTCAAAGTAGAAAGGTATTATAAATGCAGAAGGTTGCTATGTCTGGTAGTGAGTGAAATGTTTTTGTTGTGTCATAGATGCCCTTTTTGTTTATAGGTCACTACAAAAGCTAAAATAGCTTGCCCTTTTTTTTAAAAAAATGTAAGAGCACAACCTTTTCCTTGGTGGTGTGTGAAATGATTGGTAAAGTTCATTAGATTGGCATACAAGTTGATGCACACACTGTGCCATTTTCCGTAAGTCATTTACAAATGTTTTGCTCTGTGGTTTTTATTTAGTATACAGAATAATATGAAAGTGAAATGAGTGGTTTTTCTGTTTTCCTCTTTACCGCTTCTTTTGGAGAAGATCTGTAGCTTCATTTCACCACTGTAAGTGGGGCTATTAACATTTACTACATTTAAATACTTTCTAAAACAATTAAGGTTTTTAAGAAACATATAGCTGTATAGACACAGAGCATTAGACATCTATGGCAAGCCTTGAATTCTCATTCTCTCTTTGAATCTACGAAAATCTTTTGAGCTGCCAAATATAAAGAGGGACACTTAGGTTTTTTTTTCATTTTTGTGATAAATCTTGGAATTGATTTTAATTTTTTGTAGCACACAATATTTTAGATTGATGTGGAATCACATTCACTTAAAATCATACAGTGATTTGTGGAAGGTAACATTTGTTGTTTAAGGATTACATTCCATGATCAGAGAAACTTTGGAGTGAAAGATTTGTCCTGAACATTATTCAGTTAAAAAAATTGATTGTCAACATTTCATAAACTATTCTAAGTTTTCCTCTTTTCTTAAAGATGACCCAGCAACGTTGAGTCAGCTTTACTATGTGTTGAGTTGGTAGAAACTGCCCCTTTTAGTCAAAGCTTGTTTTCTCTGAGTTCCCATAGTCTTCACATGGATTCAGCCCTCTGCCTTTTTACTGTCAGCCTAGAACCCGTAGGCATTTGAGATTTTGGCTCCTGGAGTGCCTAGTTCTGAACAAGACATAGTACTAGTAGACATTTTCAAGTTCTGTTTTTTAGAGCCATTATTTTCCCTTATATTTGTTTGCTCCTACTGAAAAATTCTTTCAAACTTTAATTGAAAATTTAGTGTAATTTTTCTTATATTGTAATTTGCTTGTGGTTTTAAAATGTTCAGTTCTGAAAAATAATATATGAAATTCAAGTGATGATTAATTTTACTGTTTAAGTACTTTGAGTATAAAGAATGAGAAAGACATTTCTAATGTATTTTTTAATTAGTACAAAATGAATGCAAATAAAAATGGCAAGAATTGTACAGTGTACATATTCATGATACATACTATTTGCAATGATGCCTGTACCAGGGTTGCTACTTAGAATTCTAGACATTTGAGAGATAAATAATTGGAAAGAACCTGATTCTTATCCAAAATATTTGTATATATAATTTAAACATTATGAATGTATATTGAATTTGTAACGTTATAACTGGATTGAAATATATGTATAGTCTTTATTTCAAGTATTTAAATCTAAAATCAATAGATTGATTTTTGTAGTCCTCCTGAAAATGTGGACGGTCTCTATTTGTACTCAGGCCTAAGTAAATTTGCCCCTGATTTAAAAAAAATCATTTTGTTCTTTTAATATTTATGATCTTTAAACTATTCTGTTCCTTTCTGAAAGCAAAGATAATTTGTTTAAGCATGTATCTATGCCAAATTTTAAACAACTATGCTATATCATAAAATTATTTTTAAGCATGTGTAATTTCTTTCAGAGGAAATTATATCTCTGTAAATCATACAAATTACTTCATTGAATATTGTTGTCAAACACAGAGCATTAAATCATGTTTGATTTCTTTCTCTCAGAGTTTAATACAAGGACATGTTTTTTAGTCAGGGTGAATGGAGAAGAGAGGGTAAAATAACATGAAGGCCCTGCAAACCCTTACTTGCAAACCCAAAGGGGAAAACCCATTGAATCGACTATTATTTGGTCAGATCTTCTCTTATGGAGAATTCCTACTCCTCTCTTACTCCCTTCTAGAATAAAGGCAACATGACAGGAAAGTGTAGCCAATATATAACGAAGTGCTCAATACCCAATGCTGCTCTTTTGTAAAGACTGCAAAGTGAGCAACTAACTGTATGATGTGCTAAATGTTGCCAGATGAAAAGCTAGGGAAATGTAATTTTTGTTTTGGGCACTCTCTTTTTCTTTGTCTTTCTTTATTCTAGTCCCAGTTCTGTCTGACTCTTAGGTATTTTTCTCCTTGCTTTTACAGGCATACATCTTGGGCTCTGGATCAGCTTCACACTGACTATTCACTGACTATGAAATGACTTTTGGTGCCGTGATTGACTATCATAGAAAGTCATTGGGAGGTGTAGATTCAAAGAAACCTCAGTGAATTCCTTGACTACTTACACCAGAATGTCAGTGTTGTAAGGAAAATCATAGTAACCCAGTACAAACACTAGAAACATTGAAAGTATTTGATCCCTCATGCCACAATTCTTTGTTTGCACTCCAAGCATTTATTACCCCACTGGTTTAATTTTATTTAAATTAATACATGTGCTTCCCTATTTTGGGATATTTTGTCCCAAGTTTTCTTGGGACAGGAACTATGTCTTCAGAGGCAACATAGTGTAGCAATTAGGAGCTAGTAATTAGCATATTCTAGAGACAGACTGCTTAGATCTGAATCCTTGTCTACCATTAACTAGCTGAGTGATTTTGGGCAAGTGACTTCACCACTCTGTGTTTCAATCTCAAAGAGTGGTTGTGAAAACTAGATAGATAAATATGTGCAAGATGTTCATATGGGCTCCTAGCTAATAGCAAACATGTGTGCCTCTTTGCAATTCTATCATTGATCTTTGTGGCCTCTGCACCTAGTGTGGTACCTAACATTGAGTAGGTTACAAAAAACGTTATTGAAATAAATTGAGGAAATGAATGCAGATCTGTGTAAAAAGCAAGAATTTTACCATTAAGAGACTCTAAAAGTTAGACCATTTAATTTTCCTCCTTTCCTTTCCTGGCTCTCCTTCTTGCTCTTGCTTTATAGAGAGACAGTTTTGCAAATCCCAGGTTCTGGTGCTTCATAAACTTTCATTGTATAGCCTCTCCCCAGAAAATGTTATCTTTCTGTAATATTAACTCTCATCCTCTAAACATGTAACGCTGAAGTTGGAGCCAATTGTATTGGGTTGAATTATCTGTCCTTCACATCAGTTTCGAAAGCTAAAATAAAGGTGGGGGAAGAGTAGTAGCTGATTTCTAATTCTAAAAATTCTGTGATTTTAAAATATCTTTTCATATCCAGACCCATATTCCCAACAGACAGTTAAGACTTTTATACTTTATATTTCAACTGAATTTATCATTTTCCCACTCAAATGACCATCTTTGGTGTTTCCTTCTGTTGTTCTCTTATCATCCTCACTTGGAAACTTGTAATGGCCTACTAACTGATTTACTTGCCACATGTTTCTCTCTTCTGCAGTTTGTCTTCCACATCAGACATTGCCAGAGATGCACTGCCAGAGTTAGTGTAAAACACATATCTGATTATGTTGAGTTTCTTTCTTTCTTTTTTTCTTTTCTTTTCCTTTTTTTTTTTTTGAGATAGAGGGTTACTTTATTGCCCAGGCTGGAGTGTGGTGGTGTGATTATAGCTCACTGCAGCCTCAACCTCCTGGGCTCAAGAGATCTTCCCATCTCAGTCTCCAGAGTAGCTAAGACCACAGGCGCATGCCACCATGCCAGGCTAATTTCATTTATTATTTTGTAGAGACAGAGTCTTGCTATGTTGCCTAGGCTGGTCTTGAACTCCTGGCCCTAAGGGATCTCCCTGACGTCAGTCTCGTAAAGTGCTGGGATTACAGGTGTGAGAGCCATCAGTGTGTTGAGTTTTTAAAATCACTTGCCATTGCTGAGAAATACAAACTTTTCAACTTGAAATCTCAACCCCCTTCATCTCATTCTGTCCTAATATATTGTACTATTATTCATTCATTTACTTATTAAATCAGAAAATATATACTAAGTACCTAGAAGAATGTATCATGAATTATGGTAGGCATATAAATGAATGAGAGACATAATTTATTAGACATAAGTTCTAATCCTTGAAGAACATACAATCCAGTGACACAGCCTATAATCCAATAGGTAGAATATGGTGATGGGTGCTGTGCAAGAAGAAGGAGGGAAGAAGGAAGCTGAGTGTGCAGCAAAGACACCTGCAGGGACACATAGAACCAGGCATTTGCTGAAGGACACCTGGATTGCACAACCAGCGGCTAACTTGCATGAAAAAACATTCTAGGTAAGTTCCATAAAGGATCCCAAAAGGGGTGCCAAGAAATGTCATAGATCTGCTCGGGGACTGAGTTTTGCCTTCCCAGGTATAAAAAGAGTGGACATCTAGGTGGACTAAAATCAGAGCTTTGAAGGGCAGATGGAATAGACTGGGTATGAGGTTCTTTGAAGGCAGACATTGAAGTGGTATCATGATGTCTGGGCTGGCATGGAAGGAAGTGAAACCGTAGAAACTGGCATGATGAGCTGGAGAGAAGGATGTAGTGAAGGGATCTGGAATGTCTTTATCTTACGCTGTACTTGTCCCTGGGTCTCTCCATTTCTCATGCTGTAGCCAGATATTTCCCAAATATAATGTCTGCCTTCTCCACAGTTTTGGTCAAAATGCTTCCTTTTCCTGGAATATTCTTTCCTCCTGGAATCTCTGTTAAAGCCAAGTCATATCCCTGCTAAAAAATGTCTACCTCTTCTAAGAAACTTCTGGCTTTAGAGTTATGTACTTTATACCTTTCCTCATAAGATATATGTCTTATATTTTATTTTTATTCAACTCTGTCTTTGGTAGGTTTATTTATTCAAGTAGTTGCTTCCCCCTTTAGATCATAGGTTCCTGGTGGGTAGAAACTTGGCTTATTTGTCTTTATTGGTGCCATAGTTTTTAGCAGTGCTTAGTACAAGTGATATTCAATGAGTAGCTACTGTATGCCAGACCCTATACCACACAGTGTGTAAAGAAAATAATTAATTAATAATTAATATGGGGTTATCTATTTATATTTTTAAGCTTCCCAAATCATTTTTTCCCTGACAGAGCAGACTGTGGATATCTCTTAAATAATCTTGCCACTGCACTGATGACATTCCACCACTGCCTTACCTCTAATGAAAAAAGCCTCATATATAGATAAATAACCCCAGTACGAGTAATATCTATTCAGTTCCTTCTCACAGATTAACGATTAATTTAAATTCAACCATAGATTGAATTTGGACTTTCTTTCGCCTAGAAAATAGTTACCTCGCCCAGCAAGTGCTTTAGCTGTTATTTATGCTAAAGCAGAAGAAATGACAATGTATATTGTGTGAAAATTATTTATGAGCTATGAATACAAATTAACTTTATTTTTAGACATAAAGAAAAACACTCTGGAGTAAAAATGGTGAAATAGAATTTTTATACTGTTATGATTTATAAGACTGTTGATTTGATGACTAAAAAGATAAGATATAAAATAATTTTCTTTAAAATAATTTTAATTTTCATACTGAGCCTAACACTCCAAACTATAAATTATCATATTAATTGCAGAATCTCCTACTTTCATTTGCACATTATTTACATGCAAACCAGTTAACTATGGGATAACAAGAGTGTACCTTGAATGAAGTTCAATTTTAAGGAAGGTATTTTGCAGAAGAGAACTTTTTTCTTTTATTTGTACACACTTTTGTAAGAAGTGAAGATATTGAAACATTTTAATCTATTTTTCAATAAATGAGAGTTCTCCATTACCATTTTATCTCAGGATAAAGTAATTTCAAATTATGGTAAATTAGTTTTATGGTTAATATTAAGTTTTATGGACTAGCGGTTTATAAGGAGATTTAAAATTTTCACTATTGCTATTCTAATACTTTAGTTATTCGGCATGTGGGGTGTTTTATTAACTGATCTTTTTGGTTTCTTGACTTTTTAAATTCAGCAGTGAAATGCCCCAAATATTAGAACTTTTTTTGACCTTTGTCTCAACTAGTTATTTTCAGAAAGAGATGTTATCAATTGTAAATCTACCATTAGCACTAACCAATCAACAGTGGGGTCAGTCTACTCTGAGTAAGACTTCATAGACAGACGAGTTGAAAGCTATCATTGATGTTAGCCAAACAGAAAAAAAAATCAGTAATTTCATTCCTCAAATACATAAACCTTAAAATATTAGTATCTTATGAAAAATAGTGTTTAAAAATTGAAAAGCTAAAATATACTTATTTAGCAAAAATTCCTAATACAATTTGCTGCTCTTGTCACAAAAAAGTATAAAACTGTATGAGGTGATAGGTACATTAATGTGCTTCATATTTTACTATCTGTTTTACTATCTACATGTCTCCTATAAAACCATGTTGTAAACCTCAAATATACACAATAAAATTTACCTAACATTTTAAAATCAAACATAATTCTTAAAATCAACAAAACAGAAATTACTTAATATTGGAGAGGTCTCTATGTTGCTTAATACACGCTGAAAAAAAAGCTGACGGGCCACTAATTAAATAAAACTTGGTTATCTTAATCAGAACAATGCTATAAAATAATTTTAGTAGACTTGTCTTTCAGAAAGTTACCACCTTTGCCTTATCCTGTTATGACTCTTTAACACAAGCAACCTCTGTAAAAGTGGCTCATAAAAGGCTTCAGAAAAGCAACGTTAGAGGGTAGAACTATTCTCTCAGTATCTAGATTGAACTTCTTGGCTGAACAGCAATGATTGCCTTGGGACAGCATTTCGTTAGCATGTCCTGAAACTTGTAACCTAATACAAAAGTCAAACATGGCACTACTGGGTCATGTACCCATTGTTAATTGAGGTTGATATTGGTGAAGGATGTTCCTATATATCAAAGAAAAGTTTCTTTAATGATATGATTTTCCAGATTGTCAGACTGTCATAGTAAGAATCTAATGAATTTAGAAATTTGGCTCTTTTGAACTCCAAGATCCCATCCATTATATCTATTCTATTATTTGTTTCTGATCAATTGCTTCAACTCTGTAAGATTAGAGAGTTCTCTTCCCCTCCCTGTTCCCTTATAAATAAATAAATTTTGAAAGGGACATAATTCATTTCTACCTAATCTTGCTAAAAATGAAATATGAGGATTTTATATATGTATGAAGTTTTATCTATTTTACATGTAGGATTGGTTTTTGTTTTTTAAAGAAATATTTTGAAAGGACACTGAAGTACATAAATGAAACACACAAGCTTCAGGAATGGAAGGTTAAGGCAGTTCCTGGATGTTTAGCAAAGGAAGTATATGGACTTTCCTTTAGCCCTTCCATTTACACAACTGTGCCTCTCAACTGTGCTCCTCAGTTTCTGTGTCCTGCAGTTCAGGTTCTCTAGGGAAAATATGATTGCCTTGCTTGGATCAGTAATCTACCTACTACTGTCCAATTAGCTCTGATAGAGAGAACAGGCTAGAAAAATGGCTGAAGGAAGAGGAGGGGCTGTTCTCAAAGAAGGATATGAGCTGGAGGCAATAAAAGGTGCCTACTATCAGTCACTTGAGCAATTTTAACACTTTTTTCCTTATTCCTCATGTTTGGTTGATGTATGAGCTTGAAATAGAACTTTTAACTACGTTACTAGTAGTCATTAGCTATCACTACTATTTATTTCAAAAAATACTATTTACATTTATTGTGTAGAAGGAAAATATACAAATTATTTAAAAGTGCATATATCAATACTTATATTGGCTCTTAGAAAATATAAACCCTTTAGTTTTTATTTTTTATAAAGGCAATTAAAATAACATTCTTAAATCTCAGATTAAATGTATTATATTATTAGTACTGATTTTATTTTTATTTCACATATAACTATTTTTTGGCATCTAAGATAAGAGATTTGAGGCTGAATTGATGTTAACTTGTAAGCCTGAAGACGTAACCTGGTATTTAAGTTATAATTTACCTACTTCTGAAACTTATCTTTTACTCTTCTGCATCAAACTGAATTAAACACTGCCTTACTTGAGTTCTAGCATTATAGAATGAGGCAGTGTCTAATTCAGTTTGAGGCAGAGGAGTAAAAGTGAGTGTAGAACTCAAGTAAGGCCTCGGCCAAGGCACTTACCATCTGTGGGTCTCAGCCTTTTCATCAGAATCATAAGAGTTAATATCTGCCCTTCCTCACTCACAAGACTATTATGACAATAATAAGAGATCCTGTATGAGAAGGCAGTTTGTGAACCATGAAATGCTACTTGATTTGTATGTCTGTGTCCCTAAATTATAAACTCTTTGGGAGTAAGCACTATATTTTGTGCTTCCTTGTAATCCAATAATTATTATAGCCTGATCTATGGCAGGTGTTTAATCATTTTTGGTATTGATGATGAAGGATGAAAATAAAAATATGGAGTTTCTCCTAAGATTTTCTCCTGCTGATAGTCATTTATTCATTCAATCACTTATTCATTCTATGGTGCCTCCAAGGCACCAGACCTTATGCTAAGCATTGCAGATATACTAACATTTAAGCCTCATTTAGTGCTCTCAAGGAGTTTACAGTCAAGGAAGGGAGATAGACTTATGAGCAGAAAACTATAAAGCAGTATGGGAGAATAAGGACAGAGATAGTTATGGTGCTTTTAAAAGGGATACCTGACCCAGCTTTGGTTATGCTGTTCATGTGAATTGTAAATTTCTCCAAGATAATAAAATAGTTTGCAATTAAAACTTTGAATGGAAATTAACTCTCTAATTAAGGCCAACATTAAATATGTAATTTTTGGCTTCTTGAATATTTTAAGGACATGAATTTGGTACATAGCAGATTTATGACTTGACAATAAGAATTTGCTATGGCATTTTAAATTTGAATTTATAACATTTATTCCCAGTTGGCATTACATATTTATTTGCAGGTGGTTTTGCTTAATGTTGGTCTCTCCAACTGTGCTACAAGCTCCATGAGGTGAAGGACCAAGTTAATTGTGTCTTCCATGGTATGTCCCAGTCCTGCCACTTTAGGCATTTTAAATATTTGCTGAATATTGTTTGAATAAATAATTTGTGGAGAATTGGAAGAGATTTGTGGGATAAATATTTTTATATGGCATGTGGTTGAACCTGCATATGCTTTTCTATTTTAACAATATTGTCATTGGGACTGTAGAATTTGACTCATAAACATCACTTTGCTTTTCTTGGAATTCTAATTCATATTTACAGTTTCAAATGTCACCTCTCTTTTAAGTTCCACGTCAACATATTTGCCTAATCCTTGGATGTCCTGCCATTTGAACTTGAAATGTCTAAAATCTAATTTGTCATTTTTTAAAACTGACTCAAATAATAATCTCACGTGTTTCCTATGTTCTAGGTCAGAAAATTGTACACAACTTAAATTTTTCCTTTTGCTTCCTATGTCTGTTCATAACTATATCTTATTAGCCATGAAGTTGTGTTTTTCTGTTCCTTTTTATATTTTTTGCATATTCATTTCTTTTCCATCCCTGTCCTGGAAGCCCTGACTACCTGACAACCACTACATCCTGGTTCCCTTGGCTTTCCTTTCTCTTCTTTCCAGAGTTTCAGACATTTTTGTTTTTTTTTTTTTTTCCAAATTAAACTCACTGAAATACCACAGTCAATCTGATTTCTTGTTCCTCCTCTTACCTTTTAGTGAACAATTACAGGCCTTACTCAATGAACTTCTAAATTCAACTCATTCCCAAAGCAAATTAAAAAAACACAGTTGGGACTGAACCGTCTTTCTAGCATCATCTTTCAAATGCTTCTTGAAATTTTTTTAAACTTAATTTTTTCCTGAAATTATTTTCCTGTGCTCAAATATTTCATTGCACTTTGGTGCCTACAGAATGAAATTAGGATTTAGCCTGATATTCAAATCTGCCTGCTGGTTCTATCATTAAAAATAGACCATAGTACATAGTAGACATTCAGTGAATATTTTTAAATTTTGTTTGGCATGTGGAAGCTAATGTATGTCAGCTTGGGATATTGTTATAACACACATTTCCATTTTCAGTTGGTTAGGAAAGAGATTTCTAATTTGTGTGTTCAAGAATTCTTTATGTATAGACTGAGAGGTATTTGTCCCCTTGGCCCTGGGGCAGCCTCCGGTGGTTAGAGTTGTGGAGTCAATTATCTTATCTGTTTATCTCTCTGTGCTATTCAAATAACATCATTTTGTGTGTGTGCCATGCTGTGACAAAGATTGAGAAGCGCTGGGTAACAAATGCTCTGATGGGCTAAGTTATAAATGATTTAACTGTTAATTGATACTTCCTACTGATTTGATTATTGAGATAAAACAGAATAGAATTGGTTTAATAATGGTTGTCACCTTGCTAGCAAATATGCCAATTCTGATCCTTTCCCACTGCCCTCCACTGCATAATTTTGGCTGCTTGTCCTCTTGGGAACTGTTGCTGTCACTAGATTAGCATTTTCTCATTTTCCCTGCAAAACGTTTTGCATGACTTGATGATCAGTGAGAGGATCTTGTGAAAAATATATTTGTGGTTTTTATAAGTGAAATAGTATCGGAAGCTATTTTATATATTTTTATAAAACTATATCTTATATTATTTGTGAATTTTAGCAGTTGCATCTGTACACTCCTGAAATTATTTTGAGACCAGTTAAAAGAGGAAAGTATACCCAGCGCATGTCAAAATAATCTGTTGGTCTATTTATACAGTATCATTTTTAATATCTTCTGATTTAAATCCATTACTCTATAAATTACTATTTCCACCCCAACGCTATTTCGAACAGAGATTGACAAAAACAATTGTCAGAATTTATACTTCTGGTAAAGCCCTGGAAACTACTAGTGTTCACTAATGTAAACAGAATGTGATATAAAAGCAAAAAGTTTCTTTGATTTTTATGGATTCAGTGTTCTTTGACCTGATTGCTACAGTTTTAAAATGCATAGGTTGAAATGTATTCATCTTAGAAATGTGCATACACATTTGTTACAAAAAAACAAAAACCAAAAACTGAGAAGTATTTTAATCTTGTTCCTAGTTATATATATCTTCACATGTATCAGGCAAGAATATAGTTTCTGTACATTTTGAAGAAGAGTCCACAAATATTCCTTAGTAATGTTTCCAATTTTAGCCAAATAAATTTCAGTATAAAACAAAAAATCACCTTAAAATAAAGCAGAGTTTGGCAAAACCATGTTTTTTAAAAGTCAAAGTTGTGAAGCTCTGACATATACAAACCCTTTGGAAAATTTTGTGTCTTCTTTGTTCACATATGTATTTCTTATTCTTTGTCTATTTTAAAAACTGTGGTGAGTGGTCTTTGTAAAGACCATAATCCAAATGACTGCACTTTATTTACATGAGCACAACACTCTGCATAAATTCTTCATGAAAATGAGCTGTAGGTATTATGCAAACCATTTATAGAATAGAATTCTGTTCTTCATTAAAATGTGGTTAATAAGCCAGATGGGTCCCTGTTAGAGGGGATGAGTATTTGCATCTGAAGCTCTCCAAGTCCCAGGATTTAGTCCTGAGTGAGTCTACACCTTACAAAGGTGCGTATTTACTGAAGAGACCTTGGTTTTATAAAATAGATTCGTTCTTCTTCCTTAGAAAATGCTTAATGTCATAAAGTTTCTGTATCATTCACAGAAGTGTATTTGCTTTATATATTTTTGCTTAAATTAGTTTATCAAATAAAGCACAATATTTAAAATTTATCCAGTCATTGCATGAAGGTTGATCCATTTATCCATCTCTAAGCTATATGGCTCACACCCTTCTGACATTGTTTTCAGCTAGTAATTTCTGAAGCACTTCAGGTAATTGCTGCCCTCAGATTGCCCACAATCAAGTCATGGAGGTGAAATTACATTTGATGAAATGACGGCAACAAAATTCAGCTACAGAAAACCTTTCGGGAAAGAGTATTTTGGGACACTGCCATTTTCAGTTTGACAAGAGGTAACAAAATATTTAACTTCTAGCCACTTGGGTAAATAGAATATGCTGAATGCATTACAATCTCTTCAATGATTTAAAGTCTTCATTATGTGCATTTGTTCTTTCGATAATACTGTTGAAATGTTCTCTTCTGTTTGCTCATATTTTAAATAACTCCAAAGATTTCAAATTTCGAGTTCATGCAAGTGGTGTGTGTGTATGTGTGTGTGTGTGTGTGTGTGAGAGAGAGAGAGAGAAAGAGAGGGAAGGGTGGTGGTGAGGGTGGAGAGACAGAGAGAGATCCCAGCTCCTAGTTAGGGGTTGGGGTTGGGAACTGAAACAACAGAATTTTATTTTTTCATAGTTCTAGAGGCTAGAAAGTCCAAGATCAAGATTTTGCCAGGGCTCAGTTTCTGGTGAGGGCCCTTTACCTGGCTTGCAGATGACTGCCTTCTCACTGTGTCTCATGGTGGAGAACAAGTGAGTGAGTTCTGGAGTCTCTCATTATAAAGACACTGATCCTATTGGATCAGGACCCCACCCTCATAACCTCATTTAGCCTTAATTATTTTCTCACTCCAAATAGTCATATTGGGGGTTAGGAGTTTAACAGATCAATTTTCAGTGGACACAATTCAGTCTATAGCACCACCCTTGCATTTTGCTTCCCATTAAACTTCTTTGGGCTTAGAAATATCATTTATTCATATTCATTCATTCATTATTTTATCCATGTGCTTATTAAACAAATATTTAAATCTCTCATGTGCTAGGTACGATGCTTATTAGAATTATATACAAAGCAGAAAGAATGAGCTTCAGACAAGATTCTAGAGATATTTCTTATGAGAAATATGCACAAGTTTTAGTGTATGGGATTTGTGATTTCTCTTGGCCATTCATGTCTTTGATCCCTACTTAGCTTTGAGGTATGTTTTATTTTGGTGAGGTGTTACAGATATATGATGAACTATTAAGAGTTAAATATCAAAGGCATTAGGAGAAAGGAGAGCAGTCAGTGTGGATTACAATAATTGGAGACAATTTTATGGAAGAAGCAAGAGTTGACTGGCTTAACATGAGCTAATAACATTACAATTATATAAAAATATTTACAATGAAAAATTGCCATGTGGGGCATTTTCTCACTTGTGGCACGGGTAAGATTTCAGACAAGAGGGTAATTACTTGTGATCCAATAAGTGGCTATAAAAATTATTTGTCCTAATTAAATAAAATTTAATGACCATATGTAATGATATAAATGATGAAACCATTTTATATCATAAGCTACTTACAGTGATTCATTATGCAGGCTTCATAATACTAGTTACATGAGATTGGATTTACCCTTTGTGGACTGTGGTAGTCTATGTTAGGGAGCACATATAGTTGTTAGTTCTGCAGATTGCTGGTAAGGACTAGGATAAAATGTTTTCAAACTTTGTGAATCACAACCACATTTACACACATGCATACAAAAATGCACATTCACATATTCCATAGAAGTATATAAAATAAAGAAACAGAAGTTTCACAAACATCCTATATGGAATGCGCTCTGATATTTTCTGCTCCATTCAATTTTTGTTTTGAATAGGTAGTTATGATCCATTAAATTGATCTTATGACTCATTAATATGTTGTGATCTTCAGCTTGAAAAAGGCTAATCTAAGAGTTAGGGGAGGAATCAAGGGAAGAAGGTATGTTAGTACTAAATTCAGTCATTTGCAGTGAACATTTATCATGCTCGACAGCCATTCCCATTTAGAATTGTGCCCTGATTTTAGTTTACAGATTGCCCCTCTTCCACTGTGAGTATTCATGGTGAGCAGTTATTTCCAGTTGCCAGCCTCTCACCCTGGTAGCCAAGCAGCAATTACATGATCTAAGTTTGGCCTATAGGATGCTGTCTCTTTAGGGACTTTAAGTCTTGAGAGAGTGATTGAGGAAATGGTCAGAGACTATTGATATCACTAGCAATGTCAGCATCATAGTGGCCAGACTCTCCCAGTATCCTCTGTTTTCCTAGTTCTTGTGGCTCGCTGTGTTCTGGTCAGCCATGTCTGGGCTTCCATTCTCATTTTATTGATCTTTGAGCGGCCCACTTACAACAATGCATGTAATAACATCTTTTTCTTTGTTTTAGTTTAATAATATGTATTTTGCTTAATTTAACTAGAATTAAGTTCTGTTGCTGGCAAGTAAAGAAACTGAATTGATTCAACAGTTAAAAAAAGATCTGTTGTTTAAGTTGGTATAATCTAACTTCTAGCCTGTACTCCTATTGCACATGTTATGCCAGGGAAGACTGAGTAAAGGAGAGGTTGAAAACAAAATAATTTGATATAAAAGTACCACTTAACAGATGGCACCAATATATAGCACCATTTCAGAATGCATGAAGTTTTAGCAGTAGTCTAAATATCTAGCAAAATGGCTAGATAACCAGTTGAAATTAAAGGATTAAGGGCCAAGAGATACTTATTTCACTTATATAAACATTTCTTCCTTCCATAAATGGTTGTTTTAGTTAACTCAACTGTTTTTATTTTGTCTTGTTGAGTACAGTTGGGCCAGGTTTTTATATGTAGGTAAATTTTGTACTTGGCAGAAATGCACAGAAATTGTCAGTTTGATTATAACTAACAATAAAATGAGTTGATGCTTTTGAGTAAATGGTATCCAAGAATTTTAGAAAGTTGTCTGGGCATGGTGGCTCACACCTGTAATCAAATCACTTTGAGAGGCCGTGGCAGGAGGATTACTTGAACCCAGGAGTTCAAGACCAGCCTGGGGAACATAGCAAGATGCCATCTCTAAAAAAGAAAGAAAGAAAAAAAAAAGCCAGAGTACTTACTCCTACTACCATTGTTATTGCTGCTATAATTCTTGTGAATATATTTTAATCTCTGGTTTCATATGGTGGGGATATTTTCAATGAACTATTTTAAAAACTGCTGGATATAAAATTCTTGGTTGAAATTTTTTTTCTCTACTTATATTGAATATAGGCCCCCAATCTCTTCTGGGTTGTGGAGTTTCTGCTGAGAGGTCTGCTATTAGCCTGATTCCCTTTGTAGGTGGCCTGGCCTTTCTTTCTAGCTGCCTTTAACATTCTTTCTTTCATTTCAATCTTGGAAAACCTGATGATTATGTGTCTTGAAGATGATCTTGTGTAGAAATCTTGGCAGAAGATTCTCTGTATTTCCTGAATTTGACTCTTGGCCTCTCTAGAAGGTTGGGGAAGTTTTCATGGATGATATCCTGAAATACGTTTTCCAAGTTGTTTGCTTTGCTTTCTTCCCCTCCCTTTGCCAGTGATTCATAGATTTGTCCTTTTTATATAATCCTGTACTTTTCGGATGTTTTGTTCATTCCTTTTTATTTTCTTTTCTTTATTTTTATCTGACTATCATTTCAAAGTGCCAGTCTTCAAGTTCTGAGATTCTTTCATCAACTTTGTTTATTTTGCTGTTAACAATTGTGATTGCATTGTGAAATTCTTATATTGTGTTTTTCAGCTCTATTAGACCTATTAGGTTCTTTTTTATGCTGGCTATTTCATCTGTCAGCTCCTGTATTGTTTTATTGTGATTTTTAGTTTCCTTGGATTGGGTTTTGCTGTTGTCTTGAATCTTGATGATCTTCATTTCTATCCATATTCTGAATTCTATTTCTGTGATTTCAGCCAGCTCAGCCTGGTTAAGAACTCTTGTTGGAGAACTGGTGCAGTTGTTTGGAGGACATAGGCTACTCTGGCCACTTGAGTTACTAGAGTGGTTCTTTCGTTGGTTCTTTCTCATCTTGCATGTGGGTGTTACTTTAACTGCAGTGTAGATTGAGTACAGTCGGTAGACTTCTTTTCTAGATGTTTTCACAGGGCCAAGGCTTTGTGCAGGGTCTTTATTTGAAGCTGACTTGTCTCTCATTTCAGAGGACGATAGGCTAGCAGGTACTTTTGGTGATGAAGCTTTGGGGTGTGATCCAGTAGGTGGCCTTTAGGCTTATTGGTCAGTTAGTAGACTTGCTTGGTTTTTTGGCTCCCCTGTGTTTCCTCATAGTTGCAGTCATATTCCCTCTTAATGCCCTGAAAGTGCGAGTTCCTCTCCCCCTTAAATGCTGGCTGTAGATCATGACTTGGCACTCCTAGGTTGCCCACTGAAGCTCTGGGATGATTTCAGAGTTTATGTTCCTTCCCTGTCTGGGAGACAACAGAGGAAGAGACCTTAGTAGTGGTTATGGCCAAGGATATTTTGCTTGTCTCCCGAGGGCTCCAGCCCAGAGAGATGCAGGTCAGCAGTCGCTCAGTGCAGTAAGCCCCGGATGAAGGGCCTGTGCTGTGGGCCCAAGCCAGGGGTTCCTTGTCTGGTGAGAAACGGGGGGAATGGGTGAGACCTGTGGGAGATGGACTGGCCTCCTGTCCTTGGATCGACTGCAGCTTGTTGGAAGTGTGAATAAAGCACTTAGAGTCTTTGCTCCTTCATTAGTCTGAGGGTAGCAGGGGCAGTCCCATTGCAGAGGCAGTGACAGAGAGACTTTCATTTGCCCCTGAAGGCTCTGTTCAGGGAGTTTCTGAGTTGATACTGGCTCAATGTCCCCAGCAAGGGGTGGCCAGAGACCAAGGCCTGGAGGACCTTCTTGGTGAAGAGATTTGGGAACGGGCAACCACGTAACAGTCTGGCCATTCTTCCATAGGTCTGCTGTGGAAGCCCTCTGGAAAAGGATTGGGGGTCTATTCCAGTCCCTAGTCACCTTGGATTTTCTAGTACCTGGAGGTATCAACAGTAAAGTCTGTGAAACAGCAAAGATGGCAACCTGCCCCTCCCTCTGGGAGTTCTATCCCAGAAAGGTACAGATCTGCTGCCATTCTGAATGCCTGTAGGAGGCAGTTGAAGACCCTCATTGGGAGGTCTCACCTAGTGAGGAGAAAAGGGATTGGGGACTTGCTTACAAAAGCAGTCTGGCCATATTTTCATAGAGCAGCTGTGCTGTGCTGGGGGTCTGTTCTAATCCCTGGCTGCCTCAGACTCTCCAAAGCTTGGACCAAACAAGCTAAGTTTGCCCAAACAGCAAAGATGGCAGCCAACCCTTCCCTCTCAGAGCTCTGTCCCAGGTTTGAAACCTCTGTAGGCAAGAAAACACTGGCTAAAGGTAGCTAAAGGTCCTGGTCAGGAGGTCCTGCCCAGTGAGGAAGACTGGGATGGGGACCTGGTAAAAACAGCAGTCACGTTACCCAACTTCCAACTATACTACAGGGCTATAGTAACCAAAACAGCATGGTACTGGCACAGAAATAGTGATAAAGACCAATGGAAAAGAATTGAGAGCACAGAAATAAAGCTGTACACCTATGACCATCTGATCTTCTACAAAGCTGACAAAAACAAGCAATGGGGAAAATACTCTCTATTCAATAAATGGCACTGGGATAACTGGCTACCCACATGCAGAAGACTGAAGCTGGACCCTTTTCTTACACCATATACAAAATTCAACTCAAGATAGATGAAAGACTTAAATGTAAAACCCAAAACTATAAAAACCCTGGAAGACAACCTGGGCAATACCATCCTGGACACAGGAAACGGCAAAGGCTTTATGACAAAGATACAAGGCAAAGATTTCATGACAGACACCAAAAGCAATTGCAACGAAAGCAAAAATTGATTAATGGCATCTAATTGAACTGAAGAGCTTCTGCATAGCAAAATAAACTATCAACATAGTAAATAGATGACCTACAGAATGGGAGAAAATATTTGCAAACTATGCATCTGATAAAGGCCTAATATCCAACATCTATAAGGAACTTAAACAAATTTCCAAGGAAAAAGCAACCCCATTAAAAAGTGGGGAAAGGACATGAACAGACACTTCTTAAAAGAAAACATACATGTGGCCAACAAGCATGTGAAAAAAGGTCAATATCACTAATCATTGGAGAAATGCAAATAAAAACAATGAGATAACATCTCACAGCAGCCAGAATGGATATTACTAAAAAGTCAAAATATGACAGGTGCTGGTGAGGTTGCAGAGAAAAGGGAACACTTATACAGTGTAGGTAGGAGTGTAAATTAGTTTAATCATTGTGGAAAGCAGTATGGCGATTCCTCAAAGGCTAAAAGCAGAATACCGCTCAACCTGGCAATCCCATTACCAAGTATATACCCAGAGGAATATAAATCATTCTGCCATAAAGACACATGCACACAAATGTTCACTGCAGCACTATTCATAATAGCAAAGACATGGAATTAACCTAAATGTCCATCAATGGCAAACTGGATAAAGAAAATGTGGTACATATACACCATGGAATACTATGCAGCCATAAAAAAGAACGAGATCATGTCCTTTACAGGGACATGGATGGAGCTGGAGGCTATTATCCTTAGCAAACTAACACAGGAACAGAAAACCAAATACCACACATTCTCACTTATAAGTGGGAGCTAAATTATGAGAACTTATGAACACAAAAAAGGAAGCAACAGACAGTAGGTTCTACTTGAGGGTGGAGGGTGGGAGGAGGAAGAGGAGCAGAAAAAATAATTATTGAGTACCAGGCTTAATACCTGGGTGATGAAATAATCTGTACAATAAATTCCCATGACACAAGTTTACCTATGTAACAAACATTCATATGTATCCAAACCTAAAATAAAAATTTAAAAACATGTTCTTTATAAATAATTTAGAAAGACAGTAAGTATAAATAGAAAAGTTAAAAAATAACTTGAAATCTCTACCACCTAGAAATCATCATCATCAAAATGTGAACATTTTTTCGTACATCATTCTATGCAAATACTGAGAAGATAGCTAGAGGTGATCTTTTGTAAATAGTACATCACAAAGCTTTCTAAATACAAGTATTTTTACCCATTAGAGCAATTTGACATAAATATGAGGTGTCCAAGATCTTTTTAAAAAGTGACAATGCCCAATATTTTTGAGTATGCAGTCCTCCAGGGTAATTTGGCATCATATACTTAAAGCCAAAAAACGTTTATACCTTTTAGATGAAATCAAAGTAGCAAAATTATTTGGTCACATAAAATAACTATAGATGCACCTAGATCATTATTATCAGGATATTGGCTGGGCGTGGTGGCCCACGCTTGTAATCCCAGCACTTTGGGAGGCCGAGGTGGGTGGATCACCAGGTCAGGAGTTTGAGACCAGCCTGGCCAACACAGTGAAACCCCATCTCTACTAAAAATACAAAAATTAGCTGGGTGTGGTGGCGGGCGTCCGTAATCCTAGCTACTGGGGAGGCTGTTGCAGGAGAATCGCTTGAACCTGGGAGGCAGAAGTTTCAGTGAGCTGAGATTGCATCACTGTACCCAAGCCTGGGTGACAGAGCTAGACCCCGTCCCCCACCCTCCCCCCAAAAATTATTATCAGGATATTTACTGCTGTGTTATTTATAATGGTAAAAATTTAGGAAAATTATATTACATATGCTCAAATTGGAATATAGTGAAATAAATCATCTTGTTATACTGTGTAGTACTATGCAGTCTTGCCAATATTAGTATGAATAATTAATGGCACAAAAAGTTTCTCATACACTCTCTAGTTAAAAACACAGGTTACAAACATATATGCATATATTCCTGTATAAATACATGAGTACGTATATATTTACACACATATATGTACTGAAATGGTATAAACTAAAATGTATATTGTAATTTTTTTCTCTTAAATTGTAAATTCTATTTTATGTGTTTACAGTATGTTACTTTCAAATTCTGAAAAAATGTTATTTTTAGTTTTTCTATGTCCAGCTATGTGCAGGATTAGGTTTGTAAACATGATAGATATTAATTTTATGTCAAATACGCCAGTTTATAGATCAATTGTCAAGCAGGCATTTTTTTTTGTTTAAATTAGAAAAGGAATATATTTATTTGATAGGATATCCACAAAATTGTACATGTAAGCACCCTCTTCATGTGATAAAGAATATATCTGACCCATACTGCAGCAGGAAACAGGGGTTAGGGCCCTAAGAGCTAGTGCCAAGAGTCCACTGAAAAAACTCCCCATTCACCAGAGAGGGAGTGTTTTCTTGAACTCCATCATCTCTGTTTTAGCTCCCAGCCAGGTCTTTAAACCTTAGAATCCTTCGTGCCACTAGCAGTTCATGCTCTTTACCCTCGCCTCTACTGACTCTTTCAAGACCCATGTCCACTGCCCCATCCTCACTCACCCAGGCCACCTCTGGGGTCCTAAGCACATCTCTCTGGGGTGCTGCTGCCCTGCCACCCTCAGGGGCATGGTTAAGGTTGGCAGGGAGAACATAAGATTATATTACCAAAAGCAAAAGCAGGGGTACATTAGTAAATGACAGTGCTTAGACCTAAGCCTCACAACCTCACAGAACACGTGCTTCCTCCCTCAAATGATACGTAATCCCCTAGAGATCAAAGGAAACCCCTTCAGTATTTTAACAGGTATGGATGATTCCGCATGCCAGGGACAAGGGATACACGTGGGTGGTGTTTACTTCCATTATATACCCTGCACAGAGTAGGAAGTTAGTGGATGAAAGCCAGAACCAGATCTCTATCCTGACTCCATCAGATCTCTCCCGGCTCTTCCTGCCTTTGAATGGTGCCATCATTCTGCTTCTGTCCATTCTGGGCATTTGTTCTTTTTCCAAAAGAGAGGATAAAAAAAAATGGATGGCAGAGAGAAAGAGTGTGTGTGTATAAAGAGAGAAGGGGAAAAACCCCAGTAAAAAAAAAAAATACAAAATTCCAGAAATTAGCTTTACAGATTAAAATATTATATAACAATAGAAAATAGTCGAAAATTCTACCTGCTTGCACAGGTAATATGATACACAACTTCAGAGAATGGAGTCAGCAGGAGATTGTGGCAGAGGCCACAGCTTTAGACTAAGTCTTTCTTTTCTTTTTTTTTTTTTAATTATACTTTAAGTTCTAGGGTACATGTGCACAACGTGCAGGTTTGTTACATATGTATACATGTGCCATGTTGGTGTGCTGCACCCATTAACTTGTCATTTACATTAGGTATTTCTCCTAATGCTATCGCTCCCCCAGCTCTCCACCCACTGACAGGGCCCAGTGTGTGATGTTCCCTGCTCTGTGTCCAAGTGTTCTCATTGTTTAATTCCCACCTATGAGTGCGAACATGCGGTATTTGGTTTTCTGTCCTTGTGATAGTTTGCTCAGAATGATGGTTTCCAGCTTCATCCATGTCCCTACAAAGGACATGAACTCATCTTTTTTATGGCTGCATAGTACTCCATGATGTATATGTGCCACATTTTCTTAATCCAGTCTATCATTGATGGACATTTGGGTTGGTTCCAAATCTTTGCTATTGTGAATAGTGCCACAATAAACATATGTGTGCATGTGTCTTTATAGTAGCATGATTTATAATCCTTTGGGTATATACCCAGTAATGGGATGGTTGGTTCAAATGGTATTTCTAGTTCTAGATCCTTGAGGAGTCACCACACTGTCTTCCACAATGGTTGAACTAATTTACATTCCCACCAACAGTGTAAAAGTGTTCCTATTTCTCCACATCCTCTCCAGCATCTGTTGTTTCCTGACTTTTTAATGATCACCATTGTTGCAAAAGATATGAACAGACACTTTTCAAAAGAAGACATTTATGCAGCCAGCAGACACATGAAAAAATGCTTATCATCACTGGTCATCAGGGAAATGCAAATCAAAACCACAGTGAGATACCATTTCACACCAGTTAGACTAAGTCTTTCAATGGACTGCTGAATGGACTGGATCTACTGCTTGAGCTGTGAGCTTCTTTGACAGTGACAGGACAGACGATGACAGATCTGGAGACCCCACAGGCCCACCCGAGGGCCTGTTTGGAGCATACAAACACGTAGAACACATTCTTGTCTTCACACAGCAGCTGCAGGTGCAGAATGATCTCCAGCAGCTTGGCATCTGCAGCCCCCACAATGAACCCAGAAATGCCCCTACTGAGGGTTTTGGTGGCCTCTTTGGCTTCTTTCTAAAGCTGCCTGTAGTTACATGGCTACTGCACGAGGTCCAGTAGTTTCTTGGTGAGGTGGACATCTGCGAGAGGGTAGGCCTTTGGATTTACATCAGCATCAGCCATGGAGGAGGTTTGGTGAGTTTGCCACTCTTCAACCAGCACAGCCAACATTCACAAATAGGAATTTTTAATCCGAGCACATCTAGACTTTTGAATGTCTTATATTCTTTCTCAGATGATGTAAGACAAATCAAAATATATCCACTAGTTTTTAATTTTTTGAATCATAGAAGCCTAGGGCTAGAGTAGCTGCAGTTTAAAAATAATACTATATGGAAGAAAATAAAGGTCGTATTCAACCTTTTTACCCTGAAATAAGCAACCATTATCATTTTGTTGTTCATAGTCTTTCAGGCATCTTTTTTCTTTTTTTTTGAGATGGAGTCTCACACTGTCCCCCAGGCTGGAATGCAGTGGTGCGATCTTGGCTAACTGCAACCTCTGCCCCCAGGTTCAAGTGATTCTCTTGCCTTAGCCTCCTAAGTAGCTGAGATTACAGGCATCTGACACTATGCCCGGCTGATTTTTATATTTTTAGTAGAGACAGGGTTTCACCATATTGGCCAGGCTGGTCTCGAACTCCTGACCTTGTGATCCACCTGCCTCAGCCTCCCAAAGTGCTGGGATTACAGGCATGAGCCACCACACCCAGCCTTAGCCATCTTTTTATGCATATGTATATACATACATCCTTCTTTCATTGTTCACAGATGGGATCATATCATACATTCAGTTTTTTATCAATAGACTCTTCCCCTACAAACTTTTATAACATCAGCACCCCATGTCTCATATTTGTCATGTTAACACCTGTAGATATGTCCTTCCATTTTCCTCATGCTCATGTATTGATATTCTACTGAACAATTTATACACACAGCAATAGCATCATAGAGAATTAACTATTGTGACTTTTGTGCATCTTGCAAACAACTCCTCCTTCCCACTTCTTCTTTTTCACAGTTGTCTTAACAATTATTGGGCATTTACCCACATGAATTATAAGATTTATCTAAATTGAAGAAAATTACTCATAAGAATCTTCTTATAATCACATTGAATTTATATATTAAAGTGCACTACCTTGAACCCAGGAGTTTGAGACCAGCATGGGCAACAAAGCAAAACCCCATCTCTGCAAGAATACAAAAATTACCCTGGCATTGTGGTGCGTGCCTGTGTCCCAGCTACTCAGGAGGGTGAGGTAGGAGGATTGCCTGAGCCTGAGAGGTGGAGGTTGCAGTGAATGGAGATCACACCACTGCACTTCGGCCTGGGCAACAGAGTGAGACCCTGTCTCAAAAAAAAAAAAAAAAAAGAAAAAAGAAAAAGAAAAAATAAAAAATAGTACACTACCTTCTAATTTCTTCACCACTTTGGAGTCATCAGACTTTTCTTCAGTATTATTTTTTGTTAGGTTGGTGCGAAAGTAATTGCGGCTTTTGCCATTACTTTCAATGGCAAAAACTGCGATTTTGCACCAACCTGATAGAATATCCTCAAAAAGTTCTGTGAGAACAAACCTGAGAAGAGAGTTCTTGTTATAGTCAATTCACAGTCCTATTCTCTTAATTGGTAATCTGTTTACTTGTAACATAAGTAGGGGGCAAAATAATTTCTAGGGTCCCTTTTAGTTTTAAGGTTCCAGATTTTGTATAGGATAAAGGTTAATTAACATCTGATGCAGATATATATGTAACTATTAAAAAAAAACCTATTTGCTGTGGGTCCTTAGAAAATTTGAACTATAGCTACTTCATGCCCTGTGATAAAAATGACATAGTAACGTGTTGGTAGGATGACCAACCATCATGGTTTGCCCTGGAATAAGGGGCTTCCTGGGACAGGGGACTTTCAGTGCTAAAACAAGATGGTCCCAGGCAAACAAGGTCAGTCACTCCATTTGGTCTGGTGGTTTCTTTAAAAGTACTTTGAAAATGTCCATATTCTCATGTATAAATTCATTAAAATTTCTGCTTTGGTCTTTAAATTTTACTTTAAAGATTATTCCTCACCTTGTAAATCTTGCAAAGATTTTGACCTAGATAAGTAAATTTTGATGCTAAAGATAAATGAACAGTGTTCTATATTTGATTTATATAATTTAAAATGTTTTATTATATAGTCTAGAAATAATAGACTTATGGGAAAAATACTCATATATTACATCTATAAGAATTTTAAAAATGTGTAAACAATGAGAACATTAGTCTTAAAAATAATGTAATAAAAATAATGGTGAAAATGAACATGAGGAGATGCAAATATTTTATTATTTTTAAGGATATTCCTACATATTCTGCAGAATTTATGTTCCCATACGGGTCTTTTATTAGTCTGCTTGGGCTGCCATAACAAAGTACCATATACCGGGTGGCTTAACAATAGAAATTTATTTTCTCACAGTTATGGAGGCCGGAAGTGTGAGTGTGACATCAGGGTGCCAGCATGGCTGGTTTCTGGTGAGAGTTATTTTCTTGGCTTGTAGATGGCTGCCTTCTTGCTTCTTCACATGGTAGAGACAGGGAGAGGGACAGACAGAGAGTGCTTTGGTGTCTCTTCTTATGAGTGCATGCACTAAGCCCGTCTTGAGGGCCCTACCTAAATTTAATTGCCTCCTAAGGGTCCCATCTCTAAGACCATTATACTGGGGGCAAGGGCTTCAATATATGAGTTTGGGGGGCATACAATTCAGTTCATAGAAGCACACAGATGATGAGAAATCAGTGATTTCTTGAAGTTAATTCAGCTTAGTTAATAAAATGCTCAAGGATCCCAAGTCTGATTAATCACTAAAAAAAGTATTTCCTTTCATGAAGTATATTTCAATACGATATTCTATAAGCATATTGGTGAATCAAAGTTTTGACAGAATAACACACATAAAAGTAACTGTATATAAAAACTACATAACTATCAGGCAATAAAAGGCTTTTTACTCATCGGAATGCAAGTTGTATTGTATTTTTGTTTACTTATGAAAATCTTTAATGGACCATAGTATTGTATATTAAGCAAATGAATCCATTTGCCCTTTATAAAGTCATTTATGTAAATTTTTATTGTGTCTTGCTCTCCTTAAACAACCCAGTGCATTGTTGTGTTCCTTGTGATGTGGGGAGGTTGCTAGGCAGTGTCACAGATTATGGCACCCAGCCACTGAGCTGTGACAATGCTTAACTCCATAATGCATATCTGTTCTTCTCAGAGGCAAGTTTAAGGCAGATAATACACTTAAAGCATGCAGGAGGTTGTATGCCTTTGGGTGAAGATATAGACTAAAACATGATTATTTGGTGCATAATATGCATATGAATATTGGCAAACAAAAGCAACAGAGTATCTTGCTGCTCTCAGATAAACTACTGTTATCTAGATCCTTGCTTCCAGATTTGAATTTTTTTCTTTAGTATGTTAATATCATTATTTTGAATTTGCTCTTCATAAGTTTGGCAGCCCATACTGTGTATAGGTCTGTTTAATAGTTTATATAGATTAATTCAGGAGGCCTTTTGTTTTTGTTTTTGTTTGTGGGAATAGAGTGATTGAATAAAGGATGACCTGAAATTGTCAGGGCTTAGAATGTTTTTGTGATGTGAATTATTTCTTCATGGCTGTTTTCAACTATTTTAGCCATAAGTGGAGAGAGATTTGCATGGTGGAGATCTAAATGAAGATGGAGCTAATTGGGGGTGGAGGGAAAGAGAGAGAGAGCCATTTAAAGCATGTGTGTAATTCTGTGAAATACAAGACTACATTACTATGCAGATTGCATCGATACTCTCATAAATAACATGTTTATAGAGAAACAACCATTTGCTCTAAGTAAATGGTGTTGCATGCAGCACTTGTAGATGATTTGTGAGGCCTGCAGGGGTGATGCTGCTTCTCCCACTGAGTATATATTGCTTTAACGATGTATTCAGGAATATGTATAAATCACAAATGCAAAGTAAGCAAAGTATAACAACCAACATTTATTTTAATTATGTGGTATTGAAACGTGTCCTCTTAATATTTTTTATGAGTGATGGCTTGTAGAGGTACCACAGAAAATAAAATTAAGCATTAAATATTATGTAATTATGAACCTTTAGTCTTGCCTGTACTTGTAAAGTAATAAAACCTATTTGTATTACATTTTTATTTTGTTTTATTTCTTCTATGATTGTTAGCTTTTCTCCTTAAATTTGTCCTAAATTGAGTTTCGGCTTTATTTTTCAGTGTCAGGAAAATTGATATTGTTTATTTCTTAACACTATGCAGTATGTGATTTCAATAGCTCTATTAGTATTACCAAACAAGGGTAACAAGGGTGGTTTTTGGCTTTCACCCTTTGTTCAGTAAATCAAACATAAACATAGTCTGTATATGGCTTTTCAGTAAAATCTGTCATTTTATTTGTCTTTCATCTTGAAGGTTTATTGCTTTACATTGCTTAAAGTGATTCAGGGTCTGAACTGTTTAAATCTTGGATGTTTTTTAGAGTATTAATGGCTCAGCCAGAATCTGTGAGAAAGTCAGATGCTAAGACTCCTTGCATGTGTACAGTAGGTGCAGTGTATGCATTTGAATGATTCATTCCTTTTTTGGCATGCAAGCTTTGCTCTACTCACTTGTTTTTGAGAATGCATTACATTTATAAATATTACCTAAATTTCTGGCCCTTTTCTGTACATTACTCTGTCTCCTTCAAGCTCAGAATTTATTGGAGGCAATGTGCTAGTTCTGTTTCCAGCTTTTCCTAAAGGAACTTCCAGGGAAAAGCCAAAGCAGTAAAGAATTTATTAAAATCCACTAATCATTCCAAGCTAATGATTATGCAACAGAAAATCATATTGTTTTAAAGTTTTTCTGTCATTTGCTTTTTTACTTTAGTGCTGCTAATTTAAAAGCTTCTATTATTTAAAAAGTGCACCATTCTTTCAATAACTACTGATTAAATGCCTATTTTTGTTTTCCTCACTGGGGTAGACTTGGCGTAGTTTATGAGAGCAGAAAGGAGGAGAATAATACAAATATAAGCAGGGGCCGGACCCTAAAGAAAGAAAGAAAATTCATAATTATTAAGTACTTACTTTGTGCCAGATATTGTGTTAGAAATGTTGATGTATGCCTTGCACTTAAAATCTGGTTGAACATGGATGGAACTGGAGGTCATTATGTTAGGTGAAATAAGCGAGGCACAGAAAGACAAATATCACATGTTCTCACTCATATGTGGGAGTTGAAAAAGTTGATCTCAACGAGGTAGAGAGTAGAATGATAGATATCAGAGGCTGGGAAAGGTGCATTGGTGAGCAGAGGAGGGGGACTGGGAATAAAAAGAGGTTGGTTAATGAGTACAAACATACAGTTAGATAGAAGGAATAAATTCTAGTGTTTGATAGCACAGTAGGCTGACTATAATTAACAACAGTATACTGTGTATTTCAAAATAACTAGAAGAGAATATTTGAAATGTTCTTTACCCAAAGAAATGATAAATGTTTGAGCTGATGGATACCCTAAATACCCTGATTTGATCATTACACCTTGTATGCATATATCCAGATAACACATATAGTCTGTAAATAGGTACAAATATTATATATCAATAAAAAATTTATAAAAATAAATGAAAATCTGTTTGAAGATACACGCATACCACATAATTGGTATATGTGAATGTGTCTATTTGAAAACTTTTAAAATTATAATGTAGTATACATGTGCATGCTACTATACACTGTCATGATTATGAAATTTATGACTAAAATTTTTTTACAGGCATGAAACATCATAGGATCTCTGGGAAAAGAGCAATTAGTATGGGGCTGGTCTGGAAGGGTAAGACTGAGAAGGCGACTAAGTGAGACTGAGCCAGCGATAGTGTATTTATTACCACTTCTTTAACACAGAATTCAAAAGCACTTTTGCACATTTTTCATTTACAACTTATAACAACCCTTTTAAAAAGTAGTTGAACCACTTCTCTCTTAAAGCATGCTAAATGAAATTTAGAAAGATATAGTAAATGCACCCTGAAATGACCTAGTGATGTACTCTGTCCTCTGCTTCCAGCACACAAGCCCAGTTTATTTCACATTGCAGCCAGATCATGCTGCAATAACTAAAGTACTCTGATTAAAACACTCTTATGGCTTTCCATCATGCTTCAAATAAAATTTAAACTCCTCACCACGATCATAATACCTACAGGAGTTGACCTTTGTCTACCCTATGGCCCTACTTCATATTACTATCTCCTCTCTGATGATACCATAGCCACTCTGAACCTCCTTCCTTTCCTCTAATGGATCCAGGGTTTTGCATAAGCTATTTAGTGTGGACACTGTTGACTGCCCATCTAGCTTCCATTTACTTCCAGCCTTTTCTTGATACCATCCATTTTTTGTCCAAATGCTCATCTCTACTCATAGTAGCCACATGTTTTGTGGGATTGACTCATGGTCCAGGATTAATTCTGAGTAGCTGAAGCCAATCATGGTGTTCCCATTCCTTTGCTAGTGATTGAACCAGGGGCCCAGGCTCATGCTAGTTAATACAAGGACCTTCCTTGGTCACGGAGATTGAGTCAGGAATGGACAGATGATGATCTTTAGGCCAGTGACCCACAGGGAAAGCTTGCTAGACATTTCTGGGAAACATTTTCTTGCCCTTAAAATAGAGTACTATGAGAAACTGTCTCTTTGTGTATTGTCATATGGAGCTGGGACTTTGGCAGCCTCTGCCACCAGTTCAGGATTAAAACTGATGTATAGATGAGGCCAAGTTGAGAAGGTCACAGGGCCCCTGGATTGAGACACCCCTTAACTATACTTTTCTTTGAATTTCCACTATGTTAGACAATAGCTTTTATATTTCAATTGAACTATTTTTTTTTCTGATACTTGCAACTATGATACCAGGCTCCTCCCCCTGAAATTCTTTTTCCCCCGTTTGTTAAATGTCAACTTCTTGCTTGGTATTACGATCTTGGTTCAATTCTTGCCATGTCAGAGATGGCTTCTCTGATATGTAATCTAAAACTCCCCTCTCTATCAGCCACTCTCTGTTTAATTACTATTTTTTCTTCATGGCCACCTATTATTACCTCTTTATTCATTCGTGTATTTGTTTAATGCCTGTCTTTATCCATTAGAAGGTCAACTCCATGAGAGGAGAAAGCTTGTCATCTCAAGTACTGCCACATCTCCAACAATTTGAACAGTGTCTTCATCTATAATAGATGCTCAATATTTGTTGAATGGAGAAGTGGAAGAATCAGACCTCAAACTCCCTTACTTTGGCTCCAAATTCTATTCTTTATCCACTGCACTGTGATGACTCACAAGGAAGAAAATAGTAACACCAGTAGAAGGAAGAGCAAAAGCAAAGGATAAATGAAGTACATCTAGAAAGGCTAAACAAATTTCTTCTTATTAAGAACAAAATGATTCAAATTCTAAGCCAATATCATAGTATTTCAGTATTTAAAACTCAGAATATGAGTTTTAAAAATTCAAATCAACACGCCTGTAATCCCAGCACTTTGGGAGGCCGAGACGGGTGGATCGTGAGGTCAGGAGATCGAGACCATCCTGGCCACCACAGTGAAACCCCGTCTCTACTAAAAATACAAAAAATTAGCCGGGTGCGGTGGCGAGCACCTGTAGTCCCAGCTACTCCGGAAGCTGAGGCAGGAGAATGGCGTGAACCCAGGAGGCGGAGCTTGTAGTGAGCCAAGATCGCACCACTGCACTCCAGCCTGGGGGACAGAGCGAGACTCCGTCTCAAAAAAAAAAAAAAAAAATTCAAATCAAATGGATTTAAAATGAGAACAGTAAAATTTTACTATATGTACATTTATGCATGTATGTATGCATATGTATACACAAATTAGAATTTACATATGTATATTTATAACAAACATAGGTAAAAGAGAATTGCAGGTCATTACATAGAGCAGGCTTTCAATATGTGTTTGTTTCATGATTGCAAATAACTTATATCATCACAAGATTTTATCTGTAAGAAGTGGCCTGTGGCTTGACTGAGTTAGAGAACCTCAGATTCTAAATACTTCAGATAGAGAGAGCCTGCCATGTTTTGAAGAACCTTGCCAATGGGAAGAAACCAGCAAATGAGAGTTCCATGAGAACTCTCATGGATGAGGAGAACTCTCATGGAATGAGGAGGTAAAGACAATGTCAAGGACAACCCCCTTCTCTGGGTTGGGTAAACCTCAGCACTGCTTTACAATCACCATGAGACAGGAGTCTCTGGGCATGAGAGGAGTCAAAGAATTACAGGTATACATTGGAGATATTGCAGGTTTGGTTCTAGGCCATCTCAAGCAATTATCACAATAAAGCAAGTCACACAGATGTTTTGGTGTTCCCAGTGTATATGAAAGTTATGTTTACATTATACTGTAGCTTATTAAGTGTGCAATACCATTATGCCTAAAATATGTACATAACCTTAATTAAAAAATACTGCTAAAAATGCTGACACAGAGACATGAAGTGAGCACATGCTGTTTGGAAAAATAGTGCTAGTAAACTTGGTTGCCACAGGGTTGCCACAAACCTTCAATTTGTAAAAACTGGAATATCTGCAAAGCGTAGTAAAGGAAACACAATAAAATGAAGGGTGCCCGTATTGTATTGACACCTTTGTTTCTACCCAAGACAATGAGTTATATTTTCAACACAGCTTTTCTGATATTCAGCAAAGATTGGTTTGGGAGAGTCGATTTACTGTTGTGGTTAAGGACATGTCTTGGTACCTGAATGCTTGGGATTGAATTTCTGCTTTGTCACCTACTGTCTATATTTGCTTAACTTCTCTGTATCTTATTATCTTCACCTGAAAATGTGGCTAATCAAAGCCACTTCATTGAATTATAAGAATTAAAGGAGTCAATATACATAGATGAGTAATTTTCATATTATCTATGGTGTTCTGTTTTTCTTAAATTTCTAATCTATTACTGATATTTTTGCAAAACATAATGAAATAAATTGCTAGAAAAATGAAGCAAAGATGCAAGGGAATTAATACTACTTTCAATTTTAGAAAGTAGATTGAACAAAAAAAAAACTCCATTAATTTGCTATAAAAGAATTTTAGTGCTTATTCTCATATTCTGTACTTCATAGTGAAATGCTAACTTCCACCCTTTGAGTAGCACTGTGTGCAAGACCTTAAAACAGTGCTTGGCATGTATTATGCCTATGCTGAGTATCACCAAATCTTTAGCTATTACGGCATGCCCCTGTATTGCAGGGCTCACATTGTTGTAAGGAGCAGACCTAGGAAGGTTTGTCTGCTACATACAGTCAAGCTCTCGAGGCACAGGTGGGTGACCGTGAGAAAGAGGAAAGGTGTGCAGAAACCTCTCACTTCCTCCCTCGCAGCAGACATGTTTAGCTTCAGGTTTAGCTTCAGTGATTTCTTTTTTCTTTTTCTTTTTTTTTAAGATGCAGTTTCACTCGCACCATGATACCTGGCTAATTTTTTGTATTTTTTGTATTTGTGTATTTTTTTTAGTAGAGATGGGGTTTCACCATGTTGGCCAGGCTGGTCTCAAACCCCTGGCCTCAAGTGATCTGCCCACCTCAGCCTCCCAAAGTGCTGGGATTACAGGCATGAGCCACTGTGCCTCGCCGTGATTTTTCTTTTTTTTAACTCAGTGGTTAGGCAGGCTTTTTAAAATAGATATATTAAATAATCGATAAACATTTTGGGGACAGGGAGACACCTCCCAGGTATTGTGCAGGCATTACATATCTCCTCCCCTTATTGCGATGTGTATAATTTATCTTCTGGGAAAGGTGAATCCACATCTTATATAAAATCAAAGACAACTGACTTCAACCCCTTTCTAACAGTGTGACTTTGACTACCTTTCTATATCTCAGTTATTTTATTTGTAATATGGGCACAATACTAATAATAATGCTTTCCCCAAAGGAAATCCAAGCACAGAGCACTTCTGTTTAATGAGACCCTCTTTCTGGACTATAAAGACAGTGTATTCAAGTCTCAAACAAGTCTCCATTGATACACTTCATAGAAACACTGAAATCCTTCTTCACAATCAGTAAAACAACATCGTTCCTGATGGGGCAATTACCCTGAGTGATCTAGTGGTGTAAAGTCAGGTGACTCAGAGAATAGGATAAATCAGACATGAAGCGAGGAATTTTCAATGCAGAGCTTAAGCAGATACTATGAATGTCTGGTGAGGAACAGCTGTCGAAGGTGAAAAAAGACATGACAGGATTTTATTTTGATGTGGACATCTCTCTTAAAACTGTCTGATAGGCTGGGTGCGGGTGGCTCACGCCTGTAATCCCAGCACTTCGGGAGGCCGAGGTGGGCGGATCATGAGGTCAGGAGATCGAGACCATCCTGGCTAACACGGTGAAACCCCATCTCTACCAAAAACACAAAAATTAGCTGGGCGTGATGGCTGGTGCCTGTAGTCCCAGCTACTCGGGAGGCTGAGGCAGGAGAATGGCGTGAACCCGGGAGGCGGAGCTTGCAGTGAGCCAAGATCTCGCCACTGCACTCCAGCCTGGGCGACAGAGCCAGACTCCGTTTCAAAAACAAAACAAAAAAAAAAAACTGTCTGATAGAAAGCCAGTTCTCTGCTTTTATGGAACTAGCCATCATATATGTGTTGAATGCATGCTATGAGTGTGGCACTAATTTAAAGATTATAAGGGAGAAATATGGTTTAACTTCAAGGAAGATATAATGTAATAGGGAAAAAATGACATTAAATCTAATAAAACAACAATGGTATACCAGATTTTAGTAGCAATTAAATTCGTACTATAGCAGTATTTTAAAATACAGTATTTTAAAAGAGAGCATTTAAAAATGCCATATTAGCTATATTAACTATATTTAAAAATAGTTAAAAACATATTTTAAAGATAGTATTTAAAGATATTTTAATTAATTTATGTATTTAAATATATTTAAGATATGGTATTTTAAAATATGGTATTTGTAGTATTTTAAATTATATTGCTATTTATAATGACAACTGTAGTCAATATAACATGGTACGTGAGTAATTGCCATTAAATGGCACAGTCGTTTAGAAAATGTAAAGCTCACCTCAACTATGGTGGTGGGGACAGCTGTTACATTCTAGTTATTAAACAGCCTGTGTATTTTGCTTTATTTAGTCAGAATAAAATCTTACACACACACACACACACACACACACACACACACATAGATATTTACTCCTACAATTTCTCTCATATATCCCGAACTAAAAAACTATAAATACAGCATGTTTTTATGAAATATTTCTAGCAGGTGTTTATGGTCTTAAAGTTTTAATAAATCAAGAAACAGGATGAAGAATGTATCTTAAATTACCAGTTTTTGTTTAACATTTTCAAGAATGTTTATATGTTAAAACATTTTAAAACTGAGAAAGTGAAAAATGTTGCATGGGCAATAGAAATAAAGCTGTCTTTATTGCTCCCTCTTGTCCAATTAGGAGAATTAATAATTCTCAAGACTTGCATTATACATTTCTTATATGTAGGTAACATAGAATGTTTCCCAATATGTTCTTATTTTATTATCACTGCTTGAATTTGGATATTGTAGTATTAAAGATATCCCACATAAAGAAGAATCATGTCCCACACAATGCTAATGAATAGGTGCCTGGCAAAGGCCCATATTCACATTTCTGAGAACTGTTGATACAAAAAATAAAATTGTTGACTTCTGGTGGTTCTTTGTGAGCATAATTCTGGTGCATTAAAACCATGGTGTCTTTCTAAATCAAGAAACTATATAAGGAACATGACAGTAGAATTGTCAATTTTTAACTTTTTAAAAATGTCTTTTATTGTAGAATTTGAAGCAAATTTACTTGACCTAGATGTATAATATTTAAAAGGCAGTCTAATTCTTCTGGCAACATTGAACACAGTTTGACCTCAAAACTGACATTCAACAGTTTGGGTGTGCAATTTAACTTTACATTGAGAGAGAGAGATCTTTAAAAAGTTTATTTAATATTAAAAATTAGCATGTTTTCTGATTTGAAGCCCATCGGGATGTCAACACTTTCTAGCTTCCAATTCTCTTTAACCTAATGTATGAGGAACATGGCATTAATTAAACCTTTGTTATTTATCCAATCTGTGAACTTTTCAAGTTTGAGATTACCTAATTAGTCAGATTTCATGGTTGTTCTGTGACAAGCATTAAGACCATGTTGTTCAATTTAACTTATGACTTGTTACCACCATGTGATTAAAATGCTAGTAAGTCAGCTTATTTTACTCACTTTATTTTGAGGGAATAAAAGTGCTAAGGCATTTATATGAAATGTTGTCTTAAGAACCTAATTGAAGAATCTGTGGTGTTTTTAAGCCAGTAATTTGAAGGAGCACATTCTGTCTTTGAGAATGATGTCTTAGTAGGAACTAATTTCTACTGCAGCCACCGAAGGACATTGGCCAAGTATTCAGGGAGTAACATGAAATGAAACACATTTTTCATGAGGTATATTTATCCAGAAGACCAAATGTACCATGAGAAAATGTATTTTTTAGTTATTCACTTAAACTTGAGCTCACTGGAGTACCCCAAACCTCTCTGTGTCGTTTTAGAAACATGCTAATTATAAAGAGGTTAGAAGAGTCAACATAGATTTTTGTATATGAAGTAATAACCAAAAACAATGTAAATAGTCAAAAATATTCCTAAATGTTTCAAATTTTATTTTGGTAAAGTAGAAAATAGAGGCATTCATACCTTTATGAATTAGTTAGCAGGAAGAGAAATTTACTTAAGACTTGTACCTGTGTGAGATGTTCACATAGTACCCTACTCAGAATAAGCAGAGGAATATAAACATTTGAATCTGGTAGTCAGTTGTATCCAGCTATTATACCTATAATTTATAGCTTCTAAATTATTTCTTTAATAAATCATCCATGGATTCTGGGTGTAATGCTGTTCAGTTCAGTCTGCTAACATCATCAGCACATATAAACTGAGTGAGTCTTTTGGCTGCTGAAATAGAGAAAAAACAAACAAAAACAAATCAAAGCAACAGTAACAAAACACATAACCATGGGGCCTGTATTCAGAGAACAGACAGTAGTACCTGTACACTTTTGATTATTTTAATTACAGGCATAGTCACTACAGTGGAGATGAATCAGCCTATTTCTTCATTTGTTTTGGCTCTCAATTTGGATACTGACTAGTGATACTTAATTTATGCCTATAGTTGTAAAAACAACCTGAAAAATGTAGAGTGGAAACAGACTAAAGCAGGGTCTCTTAATAGTGGCACTACTAACTAATGTTTTGGGATAGATAATTTTTTGTTGTAGGGGATTCGTTTCCATCCCACCCAAATCTCATCTTGAATTGTAGCTCCCATAATTCCCACGTGTTGTGGGAGGGACCTGGTGGGAAATCATTGAATCATGGGGACAGTTTCCCCATACTGTTCTTAGGGTAGTGAATAAGTCTCATGAGATCTGGTGATTTTTATAAGGGGTTTCCCCTTTTGCTTGGCTCTCATTCTCTCTCACCTGCCGCCATGTAAGACATGCCTTTTGCTTTCTGCCATGATTGTGAGGCCTCTCCAGTCACATGGAACTGTGAGTCCATTAAACCTCTTTTCCTTTATAAGTCACCCCGTCTCGGGTATGCCTTTTTCAGCAGCTTGAAAATGAACTAATACACACCCTCTCTGTTGTGACAAGAAAAAATATCTCTAGATATTGTCAAATGTTCCCTGGGGAGCAAACTTACTCCTGGTTGAGACTCACTACCTTAAGAATACCAAACATTGGGATGGATGCTATTTTATAAACTTTATCTTTCTTTTTGTGCCTTACCCTCTCTTTTGTGTATATGTGTTTTAGTTTCTGCATTGATTTACTGGTCCTCTCCTTAAGGAAAGACTTAACAAAAACATAACAATTAACTTTGCTCAGAATGAAAAAAAGTTATTACAAGACAGAAATAATAATATCTATTGGCTAGCTGTGAGTGTCCACTTTTGGGCTGTCCTATTAGAAAGTGGGAAATAGAATAATTATTCACGGAGACAAAGCTTTTTCCTGGCAGTAAGTTCTAAAACAGATTTTTCATCTGGATATTTTTCCCCACTGAGGCATGGAAGGATAAACATTTTAAATATAAAATTATATAGTTTATTTATATTACATGTCTCTTTCCTTTAGTAATGCTATCTTAAATCCAAGAGTACATGAATGACATCCAACTGAGGTCAGGTGCTTCTGTGAGGTGTTAACTATGATATGTCATTTATTTTTGTCAGGATTTTGGTTAGCACTAAATAGCTGACTAATATCTAGTTAAAGATTATACTCTCTGAAAGAGACCTAGAGTGTAGATTCTTTATACTGCTCAGAAAGAAGCCCCAAATTTGGAAGTGATACAAACAAGATCAATACAAGTAAAATTATACCTAAGCACATAATAGCAAACTGCTGAAAACTAAATATGTAAAAAGAAGAATCTTTAAAACATCCAGAGGAAAAGACACATTAATCACATGCAGGATTATGGTACAAGAATTACAGCTGACCTCATCAGGAACAATGGATGCCAGAAAAAATGTAACATTAGCTTTAAAGTGCTACAAGGAAAATAAAAACGGTCACCTTAGAATTCTTTATCTACTAACTAACCCCTCCCCCAATTATAACAAAATAAAGACATTTATAGATGAGCAAAAGCTGAGAGACCAGCAGACTTGTATTATAAGAAACTAAAGGAAGTTTTTCAGGATGAGGGAAATGATACTAGATAGAAACTTTAATGTACAGAAGAAACATGAGAAGAATCAGAAATGGTAAATATATGTGTACGTATAAAGGACTGTTTTATCTTTTAAAAAAGTTCTTAAAATACCAAGTTATTTTTGAAATAGAAACAATGTGGTATTGTGGGATTTATAACAAAAGCACTAAAAAGGTGATTAAGAAGGATCATACTATTGTAAGGATCTTACATTTTACATGAAGTAATGTTTTAATTTGAGTATAACCGTGTTAAATTTGGGACACATAATGTTATCCTGAAAGCTACCACCAGTAGATATTATGAAGAAGTATAGCTACATTAACCTAACACAATAACCCTAATTATGATTGATAACCCATACTCAGACATTAGAATTTTAGAAATCCCATACAATTTTGGAACACATATTTACATTATTCACTAAAATATAACCTGAAGAAGATCAAACACCACATTATTTTGGCAACCCTATGTAACTTAATATGTCAAATAATCTTGTTCACCTCTCTATTGGATGCTCCATGGGCCCTCTGTAGCATCCAAAAGTTAGAGGTTAGAAAAGACAATTTTGAAGCTGAAATTTGATTTTTGGAAGCCTATCAAATATGTTAAAAGCCTAAAACACTTGATATTATAAAACATCAGATCAGTGCCTTAAGAAACCCTCTTTGTGCTTTTATTTCAATGTTCATTTTACAGAAAAACCAAATAATACACTTTTGAATTTAGTCAATATGTTCACATGCAGAATTTCTTTCAAGATCAATCTTTATAAACATTCCACAATTTGTTTAAACCTTTAGCTTTATCTTATTTAAACCCTTATTAAAAAGGGTTGTTTTAATAACCCTCTAAACTAGGCAAAAATTTACGTTCCCATGCCTTCTTATACTCCTTTACTAAAGACACATTTTACTTTCATTACACACCTTGCATGTAAATCTATATTCAGTAGTCTCAATTACATGTTATAATGGTAACTCAGGCCATGGTAATTTAGCCCATATGTCTGCATTTTGAAAAGATTTTTATTTCTGAAAGGTTAAAGTCACGTGAACTAAAAGGCATTACAGATTTATTTTTCAGATTTTTCTTTCAAAATATTTAATCTAAGCACTTATTTTTTAAGCCAATCAGAACTCTTTTTTATATAAACATCACACATATAACACATATATAACTACACAGACAGACAGAAGGACATCCAGTAGTTGTAAGATTTTTTCATGTGCCAATCTCTTAATTGGATTACTGGCCTCAGGCTGGAGCCCTTCAAGAATCAAGGCTAGGAAGCATGCAGCTTCTAAGGCCTAATAAGCAGGCATAGCTGGAAGACAAAAAATGGATTTTGAGAGGGATCCCTCCACCTCTAATTCCTGGGTTTCCATGAGGGAAACAGAGGTTTTTCCCAAAACAGGATTAGTGGTGCCTCTTCCATTTTCCCAGGGAGTCCCAGGCCAGCAGAAGTCATCTTGGATCCCCTCATGGGTACATTGAGAGTGGCAAGACAAAAATGGAGAAAAATAATTCAGTCAACTGAGAAGAAAAAACCTTTTTCCAGAAAAACAAGATCCATGAAGAGGAAAGACATAAAGGCCCTTAAAATATACCTACAGCTTGGATATCTGTCTTTAATTAAGCTGACTTTTAACTGTAATGCTCCTTTTTTTAAGAAGTCCTTTTCAATCTCTTATTACCTGACCTTAGCCATACCAAATTGCCAATACTTCTGGCTTTTTAACTCATGAAGAGGCAGATAATACAGTAATTTTTATATTCCTACAACTAATTTCCACAGAGAGAGAGGTCAGAAGTCTGACTGGCAAGAACTTTTACCCTTTTGCAGGCACGTCAGGCTCTGGGTTCCCTGTTCCTGAGCCATGGAGCCCTATTGACCCTGGAATCCTATGAAGGGGGAACAGAAAATGAGAAGTTTACCTTCTTCGAGAGGTTGCCAGGAAGTTTAAGGTTTGGGGAAATTAAACTCTTCCCAGTTTGAAAGATGCATCTGAGGGGAGAGTCCTGTGGTACAAAGATGTGATTACCCACCCGTGAAGAGAGGACACAGGAGGAAAAATGAAAAAACTTTTTTTTTCTCCAGTGTCTGAGGGTCAAAGGAGTTCTAGTGATTTAGGATGTGCTTGAGAGGAGTTCAGGCTGCAGATGGTTGGTTACTCACCTGGAAAGAGGGGAAAAAGTTATCCCTTTGTTCCTCTCTCTCTTCAGCAAATACTCAGGGTATGTGATGGAGAGAAAAAAAGCCATCCCTTTTTCTTTTTCCATCCTTATATCCCAGAGTCCCAGTGACCTTTGCAGGTGCCATCCCATGGGTGCAAGTGCAACCTTCACCCATGTAGCAGGGAGGACTAGTGAGTAGCAATATTCACAGTTACCTCTGTGTTGCCCTATCCTCCCACTGCCAGTAGCCTTGGGGTTCCCTAGACCTTATCTATGTCATGGATGTGAGCATGACCTCCATCCATGGAGGGGGAGGGCCTAATCAGCAGGAATTAGTCATGCTCACCTGAGCTGTGCCCCTCGATTCCAGCTGTCATCTGCCTCAGGTCTAGTGTTCTGTTCCAGGGCTTCAAACCAAAGCTCGGGACAAAAAGATGCCTCAGAAGGGTGTATGGATTCATTAAATTAGTCCCAGGTGGCCCTCGGCAAATCACAGCCAGCAACTGGCAGGGGCAGCTCCTCTGTTGTTTCTCTGTCATAAGCAACTGAGTCTGTGGGACCAGGCCCTCCTCAAACAAGGGAGAGAAAGTGAGTCCCTGGAATTGGAGACCTGGCCTAATAAGGTGCCTCCTGAAAGGAAAAAAGCTAACCCCTCACATAGAAAAATTCCCTGTATTCATAGGATTATGTTGAGTCCTGACATGGAGGAGGAAGGAGACCTGAGATGCCTCTCGCAGTTGTGCTAAGAGAGAAGGGGGCCTAGATTGGAGAGGAGAAGTGAAAGGCCTGCTGCAGTGTCCAGGAGGAGGTCCACCTTCTTCCCTTGGACTTCCAGAATCACCTGGGGCTCCTGAATGGTAATGGTGGTCTGAACCACAGATGACGGGGAGAGGAGCCTCAGGACCTATCAGCCCTGTTGGACCATTTGGGAGACTGGCTCTGGACTTGGTGGCCTGTGTCTCTGGAGACAGTGCACTTTCCAGTGGTCCCCATTGTAAATTAGACAGGGTCAAGGTGGCTTCCTCCTGCTGTCCAGACAGTCCTTCCTAAACTGCCCTGGCTTACCACATTTGTAGCAGTTAGCAGGTGCATCTCAGGGACTCTGGGGTTTGTGAGCCTGCCACATAGCTATCAGAGCCTCTGCCTTTTTCTTTTATTTTCTTTCCATTTTTCTGGACTTCCTCCTGGTCCCTATTGTAAAAGACTGAGGTGGCCACTTTCAGAAAGCTCTTTAAAGTACTATCTGGTCCTTTAGCCTGTTTCTGTAACTTGCTCCTGATATCAGGGGGCTGCCTGTGTCATAAAGTTATCTTTTAGGCTTAGCTGTCCCTTGACTGAATCAGGAGATAGAGAGGTATGCTTTATCAAGGCCCCTCTTAGCCTATCCAGGAAGGTAGTGGGATTTTCATCTAATCCCTGGTCTACCATGGATAGCTTGGTGTAATTGAGGGGCTTTGTCCTAGCCCTTCATAAGCCCTCCAATATGCACACCTGAAAGTGTTTCCTCTTCCATTCTCCCATTTCATCATTGGGGTCTCATTTAGGGTCCTCTAATGGTACTGCTGTTCTTCCAATTGGATAAAACTCCTCCCCTTCATTGGCTCTATATAACATATAAACCTCATCCTCAAAGTTCTCTGTCACTTGCAGGGTGGTCTGCTTTTCAGTGGTGGTCAGAGTTTGGTTCCAAAGTGATATGACATCCTTCCAGGAGAGTTCAAATACTTGGGTTAAGTTCTGGAAAGCCTCTATATACCTGTCAGGGCCATCTGAAAACTTGCCAAGATCCTGCTTCATTTAACTTAAGTCCTGTAGAGAAAAGGGGACCTGTCCTTTAATGGGGCCATGTTCATCAGGCTTCTGTTGTAGGGGCAGGAGTGAGACAGGCACCTGCTTAAAATGAGGATTTTTAGGCTGGAGAAAGCTTGAGAGAATCTGGATAGGGAGGAGCAGAGGGGCTTGATTACCCCGCTGGAGGTACCACTGGGGTTTGCTTCCCTATTTCCCTGGGATTGTCCCTTACAGCCTCTCCTGAGATGACCACTAGGAGGACTGAATCAATTCTACAACATCAACAAAGGTCCGGGTTATCCTGCGAGGCAAAGAAGGCCTGCACATGTAGGACCCTGAACCACTTGCCCTTCCATGTACAGAAAAGATCCAGCTGCAAGATGGTATTGAAATTAATGCTTCTCTCCTGAGGCTGTGCTTCTTTTCTGTGCCTCAAGGGGCTTGGCGCTAAGTTGGCAACCAAGGATATGACAAGAACATTTTTGCCACAAATTTACACACAGATGCCAAGGCACACTTTGCTTCATCTGTACTTCTCTTAACCTTCCATTTTATACTTTTGATGACTAACCCAAATGCTCATTCTTCCCAGTAATATCTCTGTGGTTTGCAACAACCTTCTTTTTTTTTTTTGAGATGGAGTCTCGCTCTGTTGCCCAGGCTGGAGTGCAGTGGCGCAATCTTGGCTCACTGCAAACTCCGCCTCCCGGGTTCACGCCATTCTCCTGTCTCAGCCTCCCGAGTAGCTGGGACTGCAGGCGCCTGCCACCATGCCTGGCTAGTTTTTTGTATTTTTAGTAGAGACAGGGTTTCACCGTGTTAGCCAGGATGGTCTCGATCTCCTGACCTTGTGATCTGCCCGTCTCGGCCTCCCAAAGTGCTGGGATTACAGGCATGAGCCACCACGCCCAGCCTGCAACAACATTCTTAATATTGTGTATAAAGAAGGTATAGGTACCATGAGAGCCATGAAAGAAAGAGAAAGAATGATAGGAAAGACTGGAGGTCCTAGAGCTGACAACCTAATGAGCAGCTGGGGACTGGAGTTAGTCCAGAAGACTTTTGATAATACTGAGGTGTAGCCTTTGCCAGATACCCTCAGTTTCCCCAGGACTTCCTTCCAGTCTCACACAATGCCTAGACCTCCATAAAGGAAAGTGGACTGGAACAAAGCCAACATTTCCAATACCTGAGGGTGATGGGGGATTGACAGTGTCCTCCCCAGCAAGCCTATCCTTCTTATCTTTTTTTTTTTTTTGCAATGGAGTCTCACTCTGTCACCCAGGCTGGAGTGCAGTGGCGCAGTCTCAGCTCACTGCAAGCTCCACCTCCTGTGGTCACGCCATTCTTCTGCCTTAGCCTCCTGAGTAGCTGGGACTATAGGCGCCCGCCACCATGCCCAGATAATTTTTTGTATTTTTAGTAGAGAGGGGGTTTCACCATGTTAGCCAGGATGATCTCGATCTTCTGACCTCGTGATCTGCCTGCCTTGGCCTCCCAAAGTGCTGGGATTACAGGCGTGAGCCACTGCGCCCGGCCTCCTCCTTATCTTAAGTCTGGCGGCCACACTACTTGCTTTTAACTGGCTGACAGAGGCCCGGTATTTTTCTTTCATTTTAGCTATTGTGAAGTTTAAGAACTCTGAAAAAAGGACCAAAAGGACAGATTCTCTTTTACTCACCCTTCTGCAGATTCTGGATGAGCCCCCAAGATGTTATGGGATCTTTGGGTTTCCTTTTTCTGGCCAGAAACATCTGTGGCTGGTCGTGCCTTTGCCTGAGTTTTGCTTGGACCCACTGGGTTCATTCCGCCCATTTGGCCTGGCAGGCTGCACTTGGCTCACACTACCAGCCTGGATCCCCCACCTCAAGGGCGAGTCAGGCATGGAATGGTGAGGGGTGAGAGTAAGCATGGGGTCTGGCCACTGTGCGCAGTGAGATACACTGGTTGCTGCCATGGGGTGGGAAGCTCCAGGTGCTGGTATGGGCACTGGCTCTCTGTGAGTCTGTGGCTGGAGCAGTCGCATTGCAAGCAGCTTCCCTGGTGGCACTTGGGAATGCAGTGGCACCCAGAAGCTTGAAGACACCAGGAACCACAGGGCCCCAAAGAGAGAGTCACAGACCAGGCTCAGGGAGCTCCTAGGTCTAGGCTCCCTGAAGGGCTGCAGCTCTTTTCTCCTTCTCTTTGCCCACCATGTGGCAAGCAGGGGGCAGGTTTCAGCCCTGTTTGTGTTACAGCTCTTTTAGCCTCACCATTCAGCAGGTACTGAGTTCTTGTCCTGTGACCAGGAAGAATGAGGTATACAGACAAGTGGAGGGTGAGCAAGATGAAGAGGAGCTTTATTGAGTGATAAAACTGCTCAGAGGAGATGTGCAGTGGGTAGCTCCTTTCTGCAGTCAGGGTGTCCCAACAAGTGTTGAGCTCCTAGCAGAGAGGAGATGCTAGAATGAGGAGGTCCTCTCTGCAGGCAGGTGGTTTTGTTGTCTCTGCAGCTCTCAGCAGAGAGGAGGCCCTAGAGTGGGTGGCTCATCTCAGCAGGCAGGTCATCCTATTGTCTCCCTGTTGTCTCTCTGTCCTCTCTTCCAGCCTGGCTGAGTCCAGGGGTTTGGGGGGTGGTTATGGGCCTTACAGGGGAGGAAGTGCATGCTGGTTGGTTCAGGGGTGGCTAAGGATGGACCCAAGGAAAAGCACTGCAAGTTCCCCCTCTGGTCCACAGGACTGTCAGCCCAGCCCTCAGGCTTTAGGCCCTCTCCAGCCTGAAGGTTGGGCTTCACCAGGGACCTGCTCTCTTCTGCCCAGAAGCCTGTCTCCTGCCACCATTCATGGCACCCAGTCTGTTAATGCCAAGGGATGCCTGCAGGCCAGTGCCAGGCTGTCTTCAGCCTTCCCTTTGCCTCCTTCCCATGCTTATTGGTGCCCAAAGTTGGGAGGGGGCTGAGGCGGCAGGGGACTGTCATGTCATCACTGCCCCAAGCCTGGGCACACCTGGCCTGGCCAATGCCCAGGCTCAGCCCTGATCTCACTCTGAGATTGGAGCAGGCTCTGACAGTGGGAAGAAGCCAGCTAGTGGGAGCAGGCACCTCTGAGCCTGCTGGGGACAGAGGGCCTTCCCTGGCCCCCAAGAGCATGAAGATTCCCAGGGCCTGAGCTGTGGGAGGTGGCTACAGCTGCACCTGGGGAGCTCCTGCCCCACCAACTTGGAAGGGACAGGGCTCCCACTTGTCCCCAGCTTCTGCCAGCTCCATGGAGCATGCAGCCCTGGCTGCACCTCCTTGCAGCCTGGGGCGGGGGCTCCAGGTCCTCACTGGGCCCCTCTCTGGCCACTCACTCTGGCCCCCTCCTGTTCTGCATTTAAGTGTTCAGCAGTTGCAGGGTGCCATGGTCCCCAGCAGGTGCACCCAAGGAGCAGTTGGCAATGTGAGTGCTGACCCCAGCTGGGAGTGTCGCCTGAGCTGCCAAGGCTGTGCCCTGGCTCCAGGAGGAACCACATAGCTCACAGTAGGACCATGTCATCCCTGGTGCTGGCAGTGGTGCTGATGGCGGTGATGGAGGCAGGTCCCAATGGTGGTGCAGGCAAGAGGGGCAGCGGTGGGGATGCCAACTCCTCAGGGTCTTTCTGGGGACCGCCACGATGCCCAACTATGCTGCTCTTCTGCTGGTGGGTGGCTTGGTCCAGCCCCATCGCAGTGGCCCCTAGGATGGCAGGCTCTGCGGGGCTCCCAAGGGCGGGCTCTGGGGACTGTCTGACTTTTCCCCACGCCCTTCCCACACTGGTGGTGGGTGAGAGCAGTGACATGGGGCCAGGGTCTGGAGCGGAGGAGGATCCAAGCCTGAAGGTGTGTCCTGCCCAGCCGGGTAATGGTGGGGGTGGCACAGTCAGCTGCCTCAGGGATGCAGAGTGTAGGGCACAGGGTTCCCACTGCTGCCACGGCTGCTCCTGCAGCCACTCCTGCTGTCACCTCCTATGCCTCCCTACTGCAGTCAACATGATAGAAGTGGCCTCTATGGACGGCCTGCCACTGCCATCAATGTAAAATATGTGTACTTAATAATGTAGTTTCAAAAGTAATAGTCAAAAAGAATAACTAAAGGGAGAAATAGGAAAAATAGTTGAGAACATTAATACGCTTCTCTCAGTAATTAATAATATAACGCTTCTCTCAGTAATTAATAATATAAAGAATAGTTGGAAAATCAGTTAAAATATAGAAGATCCAAACAACACTTTAACCTAATTTTCATTTATATAACATTACACTTAACAACTGCAGAATATATATCCCTTTTACCTACTAATGGAGTGTTAAACAATACATTAGGCCACAAAATAAATATCAGTACATTTCAAAAGACTGAAATCTTGTGGATTATATTCTCTGAGCACAACACAATTCACTTAGAAATAAAAATAATGAATTAGAAAAGTCTCAATTATTTGTTAATTAAGCAATGCACTTCTAATGAACACATGAGTCAAAGAAGAAATCACAGGGGAAATGTAGAATATATCAAACTGAATGATGATGAAGAGAAAATATATCAAAATTTGTAGAACGCAGCTAAAACAGTGTTTTGAGGGAAATATATAGCTTTAAAAGCTTATATTCAAATAAGAGACATTTAAAACCAATGGTCTGAATTTCTATCCTTAGGATCTAGAAAACAAAAGCAAATTAAACCTGAAGTAGAATAAAGAAAATAAGAGAAGAGCCTAAATCAATAAAATAGAAAAAAAAACCTCCATAAAGCTAGTCAAGTCCATTCAGAATGTTCATAGCATACTCTGCATTCAGGCCTTAAAAATGAATTGACCTAAGTCCAATATATGGTTAAGTTTTATGTACCCAGAATTTTATAAATGACTTATTCATGGAATTTATAAAAGATAACATCCTATTAAAGTTATTATTTTAGTTATAATTTATTTAGTCTTTATAATGTGCAAATATATTCGAACTCATTTGTCCTCCATAGAGATGCTATGAAGTATATATTATTTTCATTAAGGAGAGCCACATCTTAGAGAGCTTAAGTAATATACTCGACGTCTCTCAGTAAGTGGTGGAAACAGTATTCAAAATAAGGCCTGATCTGACCTCAAAGCCTGCACTTTTTCCAGATAGCTGCCTTGATAGTTACATATGTTAAATTATTTATTGATCTGTTGGTCTCTCTCTTTTTATTAAAATTCTTTTTGTAGTGTTCTCTCATATGCTGATTCAAGCTTTCTTTGACATTTTATTTCTACTTCATAGTTCAGTTATTTTCCAAGTTTATTATTTTTGTGTAATATCTCTGAAGTTAAATATATTTAATATGGACTACTTAGGAAATATCTATAGAATTTTATTATTAAGCAGCTAATGTTTACTTTCATATCTCTGTACTTTCCAAATGTCAGAACTTATAATGACTTTTCTGAGTTATTGCCAATAAGACGATATTTACTAAGATTTTTAAGTCCTTATGAAGAGCATTGTTTTAAATCAATATAAGATTAGTGAAATAAAAAATGACTCAGTATTTTACTAAAACATTTTTTGAGTATTTTTATTTTAGTAATGTTAATTATATGACTAAAATTGCTGATACCTAACCTTACTTTCTTATTTTTCTACACTGAAAGAGGATACAGTCTAGTCTTCCAGATTTGTATTGCAACTCACTTCCACTAACTTCCACTAAAATATGGTGTCAGCCTTTATTAATGCTTCCAAAATATTTGAATATTTTGGATTATATGTACATATATACATTCAAATATTTTGGATGCATTAATAAAATACAATTATTTTGTTAATTTTATGAATATTAAATATTTGGAAGCATTAATAAATATATATATATATTTGCTGTGACAAATGTTTTGTTTTCATTATCTCCTTTAATCATTATCATAGTTTGGTAAAATAAATGAAATAATCCCTATTTTATAATATGAGGAAACAGGACCAGTTTCCACAGACAGAAAGTTAAGGATCAGTATTCAGCTGAGATTCTGCTGGCTCAAATCTTGTCCTCTTGACTTCTGTGATCCACATTATTGAATTTTGATATACTATACATAAAGAATGATTGACAGTTAACTTTAAGCCATTTTGAGGCATAATTGTATTTCTTGGAAATATTCTCAGAAATGAAAATAAGCTTGAAAAATACAGCAGTTTTTTTTTTCATTCTGATGATAAGTGTTTATGATGATACCTTATTGTTAATATGTATCGAAATGTCGTTTGAGTGCAAAACACCAACAGTGTTTCTCAATAATTAAACAGATATCCAATAATTGAATTATTAGATAATTTGGCACTTAATGAGTTTACTGACTGAAGGACAAGGCAGCTCCATATAGAAATTAAATAGTTTGCTGAAAGGTTTCACAACAAAAAGGGCTAGAAGCTTGAAATCTAGAAGTATAACATTGCTTTGGTTGCGTTTTAAATTAGCTAAAATAATCATGCCATTTTATTTTCATATTTGCAAACAACTGCACTTTCTGAGGGTAAATAAAATGAGTAGGTTTTTTATTTTTAATAAAAGTAAGTAGCTGGTTACACATTAATGTGTGAATGCTTTTGTCAAATGGCTAATAATGGTGTGTTTATTAGGTAATTAAAATACTTTAGAATATTGCTCTTTCTTCATAATAAACTAATGTGTAGTTAATCATGAAGTTATAAATAATTGGACAGAATTTTTGAAATTCTTTTTAAATAATAAAACACAATACAGAAAACTATATAAAATTGATGTATAGCTTAGTGAAGTATGTATTGAAAAGCAAACATCTCAGTAATTACCATCTGCACATTAAGAAGTCAATTATTATTCACACATCCCATAAGCCCTCCATGTGTCTCATTCCATTTACATCTGCCTCCTTCCCACCCCAAATAACCATTATCTTGACTTTTATAGTAATTATTCCCTTGCATTTATTTATACCTTAATCAGTATGGCTACATCCTAGAGGTTCTTCTTTACTGTTGCTCACTTTTTAAAAAACTCAATATATTTTTAAAATGTCTTTTAATCAAAAGATTATTCCTCCAATCACTTTCTTTTCTATTCAATTTATTTTCTCTTTCTTTTTTTTTTTTTTTTTTTTTGAGACGGATTCTGTCTGGCTCTGTCACTCAGGCTGGAGTGCAGTGGTGTGATCTTGGCTCACTGCAACCTCCGCCTCCCAGGTTCAAGTGATTCTCCTGCCTCAGCCTCCCGAGTAGCTGGGATTATAGGCGTCCACCACAATGCCCAGCTAATTTTTGTATTTTTAATAGAGATGGGGTTTCATCATGTTGGCCAGGACCTCAGGTTATCCTACTGCCTCGGCCTCCCAAAGGGCTGGGATTATAGGCATGAGCCACCATGCCCGGCCTCAATTTATTTAAAAAAATCCAAGGCTATTTGAGCCGTAGAGTTCTACACACCCTGTATTTTGCTGATTGTATACTTGTGGTACAGTTCAATTTGTTTCTCTCTCCATTTTCTTTCTCTGTCCTGTGTATTTCCAAATGGTAGTTGGCTTCTCAGATTTGATCAGACTCAAATTGGATCCCCGTGACAAGATTACATATTCATTCATTCATTCATTCATTCATTCATTCATTCATTCCAGGAGACAAATAATGTTTGGTTGTCTCTCTTTTGTGATTTAGTAGTTATTTGATGCTCAGTGCCTAGATCCAATAATTTATTGTTGTTGCAAAATGGCGATAGTCCTATTTTACCATTCCTTTTAAATTTAATATTTGGATTGCCTGTATAAGAAGCTGTTTTGGCAGGGAGCAGGGGCTCACGCCTGTAGTCCCAGCACTTTGGGAGGCTGAGGTGGATGGATCACGAGGTCAGTAGTTCGAGACCAGCCTGGCCAACATGGTTAAACCCCGTCTCTACTAAAAATACAGAAATTAGCTGGGCGTGGTGGCACATGCCTGTAATACCAGCTAGTCAGGAGGCTGAGTCAGGAGAATCACTTGAGCCCAGGGGGCAGAAGTTGCAGTGAGCCCGAGATCTGCACCACTGCACTCCAGCCTGGCAACAGAGTGAGACTCTGTCTCAAAAAAAAAAAAAAAAAAAAAAAAAAGGAAGCTGTCCTCTGCATCTACTAGTTGATTACTCAGTGGTACAGTTCATAAAGGAAAGTCAGAATAAATATTTCCTTTCCCTTTATCTACCAGTTTTTAAGGTACTGACTTTTAAGATAATGAATTAGTTATCTATCATCCTCTGAAATTGTTCAATTAATTTTTATAAAGTGTCATGATTAATTTAAACGTATTTTATCAGTTTTAGTTCATTGTAATTCTTACCTTATTTATTTCACCTTAAGCTGAAACTTTGGACATGAGTAGTTTCTTCAAGTTGGCTGTTGAGTTCTTTGAACATGTTTTTGATTGTTCCCTTGCTATCCTGCGTGACAAGATGTTTTAGGCTTATCTTGCACATTTCCTGCCCTAGACCTAGAAAAATTGTAGTTCAAGATCATATTCTGGACACTAAGAATGTTCATTACTGCTGGATTGGTTATTGTTTCTAGGCCTTTACAGTGAACAGGGCTGCCTTTCTATCTAAAGATAACATAAATGAGAGTGTTAATATCAATACTTTCAGTTCCAATTTAGGACTTTAGGGTTTCTACTTAAAGTCTTCTATATTACATCTGTAATTTATTTCTTACACACTGAAAACAGTGGTTTTTCAGGACACAAAGAAAGGTGGAATTATAATATCCCTAAATTACCCATTTGCTTTATTCCAAATTATGCATAAAAAGTCTCAGGATAACAATATCAACACAACTACTACCAATTTTATTTTTTCATTTGTTCTCCCCATATTCCCCCCTCCTTTAAAAAATAGTTGTGATATATCTACACTGTCAGGTCATATAGTGAAACTTATTATAGTTCCTTCCTCTTAAACCCCATTTAGTATTAGTTCTACAACTAACCATGAGAATTTATCTTGAAAGCACTCTAGTCATTTTTTTTAAATTGAATTTCAGTTTGTAATAGATTCCTCTCGAAAAGTTTGTGGGAGCAATATTCCCTGAGTCTTTGCATGTTAGTAGCATTTTGTCTATGCTTTTTGTAATTGAAATTCTTTTTTTAATATAAAATCTTTGGCATATATACTCTTTCTTTGTCTATCTTAAATATGTTACTGAATTTTCTTAAGACATAAAGCATTGAATTTGAAAAGTCTAATGATTATCTAATTTTCTTTCCTTTATAAGTCACTTTCTTTTTTCTTTAGATTCCCAACAGACATTTTCTTTTCTTTTTTTTTCAGTTCAATAATTTTACTGGAATACATTTTGATGTTGATTGTTCTTGATTTGTCAGTTACATGGTCCACTTTTTCAATATTTAGTTTTAAATCACTTATATTTTTATTTCAGAAATGTTTTAGTTATATTTTTAGTATTTGTTCTGTTTCATTGCTTTAGTTTTTCTCTTCAGAGATTTTTGTTATTCATATGTTAAGTATTTTTGTCTTCAATATTTGTCCCTTTTACTCATCCTTTATCTTCTTTAATTCTTTTATTTATTTCTTTCCTGCCTTTTTACCTTTTACTTATCAAGGTGTTTTGTGCTACATTTACTTATTTTTTTCTTCCTTCCAGTTTAATCTTCATTCCTGAAACTATTGTTCTCTGATGTCCAATTTCATCTTGAGATTTATCAGCTGGTGGTGTTTTCTAATTCTAATTTATGTTGCTTTTTCAAGTCTTGTATTCTTAGTATCTTTTAGCTTGTTATGAAATAATAGGTTAGAGTTTTGATTTGTTTTCTGAACATTTCTTTTTGGCATACTTTCGTTGTCTCTAGTATGTTATTTTGTTTTTTACTATCTTTTTTCTTTAATAAGTTTTTATGGGATTTGGCCTTAATCCTTGTTTTGCTCATATTTACACAAAATTGATTTCCGTGAATTTTTAGAGAAGGAACTTTTAGTTCAGGATTGCTTTTATAATGTCACCAAACTCCCTCTCTTGTTTTCACGCCTTTAAAATATGGTGGTTTGCTTTCTGTCTTGGCTCTCTTTCTCTTCTTTACTTTTATCTATATCTTCTTTCTCTTTTGTCCCTGTTGACTTTTTCCTGTCCATTGCTGAATCCACTGCCAGCTGTTTCTCCTCAGTGTAGTGTCCTCTTTTGGAAAAGAGCCCTGGCTGGTTAGTGTGAGAGTTTGGAGGTGCTCAGGCTGCTTGAGACATTGTGGAGCTGACCTTTGGCTCTTACATGCCTCTGTTATTGTTTTGGACATAATCACTCAGCTGCTGTTATCTGTTGGCCACTGTGCCTTCCTGCAAACACTCATTGGACATGGATGTTCTCCTGTTCTCAGGTCATTCCCTGGCCTTTTTGTTTCACTCTGTTTTCTCCTCATAGTCACTGATATGTAGGTTTTGTGGCTGTTAGTGGTTTATTACTACTTACTTGTATTTTGGAGTTTGGGATACTTTGTTAGCAATTGTAAATTTGCTTCTGTGTTTTGGGTTTTGCTACCTCGTTGATCTATCTAATTTGACTGCTTGATCTATCAACAAGATAGCAAAATGATATATTTCAGAAATTATTTCAGGGATTATTCAGAGAGATAAAAACTATGCTGCCACCACCACCAATAGCTTTAGGTTAAAATATTTTAATTTTCCTGAGGCTAGAAATTATTTGCTATTTTTCCAGTGTATGTGGTAAAAGCTTTCCTTTATACATTTTTCAGTTTTCAAGAGCTGCTGGGTACTGATTTCTGTGGGCTAGCCTACTCGGGGCTGTAGGGGAAAATTGGGAAGAGAGTTCGTGGCATTTCCATGTGGGCATTTCTGCTTCTCTGGGTTGCTGTCTGGAATTGGATGTGTGGATCATGCTTATGTGCTTAGAAGGAAACATTCTACTTCTGAATAGTCTAAAAACTTTGAGGACCACACTGAGTCTTTGTGCTTTCTTCTTTTATATTGCCTATGATAGCATGTGCCATTCTTATTTTGTGGTTCAATCAGAAATGAAAATGCCTTCTGTATTTTTAATTTGTTCAGATGTGAGTGTACAGTGTCTATAATAATCTCGTGGATTTGTAAAACACTTTAGGATTTGAAAACTACTTTTGCATCCATGCTTCCAGGGAAGCTCATAAACTAGTTGTGAAATTGACTCCAGTGCTATTCATATTTCCATTATTTTATAGCTAAGAAACTAACCAACAGAGACTAAGTCACTTGTCCAGTGTCACACATCTAACAAGTAGGAGAAATACAACTAGAACTAGTGTTTTCTGATTCTCAAACCAGCAATTTATTCACATAGAATTTTTGGGTCTCTTTTATTATGACAGAAGCATGCTTGCAACGTGACATCTGATTGCATTTATCATAAAAACCATTTTATCCAGGTATTCCATATGTTCAGTAAACACCAAAACCATGTAACAGCAAAGGAATTAAATGTGCCAGGATAATTTCACATCTCATTACCTGACGTTTTTTGTACTTAAGAGCCACCCATTAAACATTTTTGAAACTCTTAGTATTCAGCTTAACTCTGGAAAGTTATTTATAGAGAAGTACTCTGCAAACAACAACAAAAATGCAATAATCTAAACTCTTTTATTTCCTTATTTCAGTGGCTAAGCAGAAGTGCTTGCACTGAGCTTGTGTTTTTTCGGGCATACCTTAACTTATGCAGAGCTAATGGGTCCCCTTTGGGTTTCTGTTCTTGGTGTATTTGACTAAGAGGAGGCTTTATCCTGGGTAAACGATGCAGATTGCTATGCTTGAAAACTTTATTTGATGTGTCTGTGATTTTATAATGAAGAGATCATTTTATAACCAGGCTTCTGCCTTTATAGGGATATTTCTTTGCTTCACAGTATGGTTTTATTGTCACATTCTACTAGTGCAGGGATTCAGAGTGTCAGAGCTTATCATACCTCTTAGAAATCGAGTCAAACGTTCCCTCCCTGCTCACTGCATAGGTAAGGAGATAGAGCTCTAGAGGCTGTGGCTTTCTCACATACCTTATTATTTTCTGTACTAAAGGCTTCTCACACTTCTCCTTTCCTTATGTACACCCAGCCTTAAGAGATACTAGGCCCTCAGTGTCCTAACCTCGCTGATCTTCATATTTTTCCAGTTTCATTTTTACCACTATTGGCTCTCCAATGTCTAGGCTTTATTCAGGATAAAATAATTTCAAACCCAAGAAAATGCCATGTTCTCTCACCTTAGGACCTTGGCATGTTCTGTTTCCTCAGTCTCAAAAAGCATCCTTCATCACTTTTACCTGACTTCAATATGAACTTTCATTATCAGTTGACTGCACTTCCCCCTAGGAAGCTTTACTCGAACATCACAGTTTATTTTAGGTGCCTCTTCCAATTGCTACCGTTGATCCCAAATGTCTCACATCACACACATCATACCACCTGTCATGTGACATTATAATGAATTCTGTTACTTGTCAGTATCCTACAGTAGACTGAAAGCTCCAAGAAAACAAGAACCATGTCTGTCTAATTAACTGTTAAGTAGTGGGTGTCTACCTAACACAATGTGTGCAGTAAAGAGTAAATAATTACTAAATGAATGATTGACTTTGTTCATACTTTTATTGCCTTATACCTGTATGTACACACACACACACACACACACACACACACACAGACTGCAAGTCTCTAACCTTAAGTATTTTTTCATGACTCCTTATTTTTATACATATTATCTTCAATTTCTGCATCAAATAAAACTTCTTTTCCTTTCTCAAGGTCCTGCACTAATTGAGGCCCTCCCTACTCCACCATTCTGATTCCTTATAAACATTATTGCTTGCCATTTATTGGATTATTGTAACTGTGTAATTATTTCATTATAGGAATATTAATGTTCAGATACAGAAGGAGTTTGGTAATCAAATTTGGCAGACCAATCTAGCTTATTCTGGAAATGCTACATTTACCCTACATTTCCTCTCAAATTAATTTAATTCCCAGATTTTTAGTTTTATTCATTAGCTCAATGAAGACCTGATGGGGATTTCTACTAATGTGATACCTTGCCCTGCCTTTTTAAGGCATACTATAAATTAGCAACTTGTAAATTTAATGTAGAACTCAAGGTTCTACGAATGTCTGTCCTCCATGCTTCTGATGTTGGAAGCTTGAAAGCACTTAGCCTAAGCCCTTGTGGAAGACAATAGATCAGTGGTATTATCTGAAATTTTGCTCATACTTCTTTGTTCAGATAACTTTGGTTATCAGTGAACGAAAGGAAAACTGTTTTGAAGACATTGAATTTTACTGCACATATTCCAACATGCTACGCAGAAGTGTGGAGGGTTTAACAAAGGAAAAACAGAGATGGATGCTTTTCTGAGGAGAATTTGATATTGATTTTCTTGATCCTCTGTAGTATAAAGTTACAGTTCATGTTAGTCACCAGAATTCTATTTTGTTAGCTCTTTTACCTCTTTATTAAAATAAAGTTTGAGCTCAAATACTTTCATAAGGCATTCTTCTTTATATTAGCAGGATTGGATTTAACTAAAGGCTGTTTTAAGAAACAATGTTTCCTTTTATATTAATTGTCGTTTTTGGAACAGACTATCAATTATGCTGTTTTAACATATTAGCTACTCATAGAATATGCTTTGTGTTTTTATACAGAGCTTTGTTTAACATCCTGTTAAATAACTTATTTACACTGGTGTAAATAACTTATTTACACCAAAATATTGGGGTTTCTTTTAAAATATTTTATTATTGAATGTAATTAAATATGTATATGAGTAGAGCAGATTAAATCATTTTTAATGATTAATTGCTGGTTTTGTTGTTACTTTATAAATCTAACAAGGATCATTTAAAAGTTTGTGTAAATGTTATCTTTTTTATTTGTATTTTGTGATGTTTATAGAAATATAAAACCGACTTTGTTTCTTTGTGACTTCTCAGTAAAAATCCAGTTTGTATTAGAGCAGTGATTATTCTGGCATTTTTCTCTGCAGTTTTTGCCAATTGTTGATTAATAATTAGTTTTACTAGTTATGAAAGACCCTATATTATTTAAATGTGACTAGTATTTTTTTTCAGAGTCAAGCTGAAGTATTGTTATTTTGAGTGTACAGAAACAGGTGCTATTAATTTGCAAGTATACTAATAGGTTTACTAATAGTATCCTCCTACATTCAAGTGTATTTAAAAATTTTAAACATGTAATGCTTTATACATTGTTTGTTATAACATTTTCTGCATTGTTCTGTGTTGGTCTTCCATTCCACAGTAAGCTACTTGGGAGGAGAAACCCCATCTCATTCTTTTTTGTATCACCAAAACTTACTGCATGTTCTTGTACACATTAAACATTCAATAAATCTTTGACAAATTAATGATATTAATTTAGTGAATTATATTTGTTGTGGAGTATTTATATGGAAGAACAAAGCTAAGCAAATTGGTTATCTAATTCCTCCTGGGAACTTTGTCTACTATGCTGTACTGGACACTCTATCTACTGTTTACCTTACTCTCTGCCCTGGAAAGGTGAACTGAATGAACACATCAACAGGACTTCTAGCTCACTGGCTTTTGGTCGAGTTTGGCCCATGGAGAGTTGTGGCAGGAGATCAGAGTGAGGGCAGAAAGTGAGGTTGGGGTGTGTATTCCCTTGGCTTCTCCCTGGAGATTGCCTATTTCTTGCTGTGTCATGTACCTGAAAGTTCCTCTTTCTCTCCAAACATGCCATTCTACATGGCTCTCCAAACTGGTCCTGGAAAACTCTCCCTCCTCTGGTTGTCCCTTTGGACCTTGGGGTGGTAACACCTTAGCTGCTGGTAACCCTGTATTCTTCCTCTATTCCCTTAGTGAATAGTCCTTTCATAAATAAACTCTTCTCGAAGTGTACTAATTTGACTGTGCCATCTGTTGTCATTACAACCTCAACTGATAAATGAATCTTATTGTAATTTTTTAAAAATCTTATTCTTCTGTTAAATGCTCTATTAGTAGAACTTAATTTCTACAAAAGCAATCACAATCTATAAATTTGATGTAACTGAAGTGTTTTTGGTGGCATAAAACAAGCATATCAATCTTTTGAAGAAAATTATGTCTTTAATCCAGGTACTTAATTCCACCACAAAGTGGATTAAAACCATTTAAAAATTAAAACATTCATTACTTGAATAAAAAACTGAATATACACTGTGTGCGAGGAGCTATAGATACAAGAATGAAGAAAATTCATAATCAAACACAAAATGCTCATATCTTAGTGTGAGAGACTAGTATATCAATGAATAAAAACTATATAAAGATCTATATTATCTTCAAGGCACATATTTAAAATATTATCATAATACAAATGATTTTTCCTAGGGAACTATTGTGGATCATTTCTCAGATTGAAAATTTTCATTACAAAACTTACTATATGCTAGGTTAAATAAATGTGAATATATTCCTAATATATGCTGGGTAGTATTCTAAGTATTCTACAAATACTTATTTAATTCTCCTTCTTAACTCCTTTTAATTTTTTCCATCTTATGAAGTAAATAATACTAATTTCCCATTTTATGTATGAGGAAATGGAGGCACAAGGAAGCTAAGGAACTTGTCCAAACAAATACAGCTACTAATTAATATAGCTGAGATTCAAGTCCAGGCAATAATGTTCTAGAGGCCATGTTCTTGGTCACTGTGCTGTGCTAATGCTTTCATAGAGTCACACCTGTAGGATGCCACACTGCTTCCTACACTCCTTATTCATCCTTCCCCCTGCAAGAATAAATCCATAACTGATTGGTGAGTTTAATAGAAGAATCCAAGTTTGCATGGGTCTCTGTATTAGTTTGTTCTCACACTGCTGTAAATAAATACCTGAGATTGGGCAATTTAGAAAGGAAAGGAGTTAAATTTACTCACAGTTCTGCATGGCTGGGGAAGCCTCGGGAAACTTACAATCATGACAGAAGGGAAAGCAAACACATCCTTCTTCACAAGGCAGCAGGAGAGAGAAGTGAGAGGAGCGAAAGGGGAAAAGCTCCTTATAAAACCATCAGATCTCATCAGAATTCACTCACTATCACAAGAACAGCAAGGGGGAAACTGCCCCTATGATTCAATTATCTCCACCTGGTCTCTCCCTTGACATGTGGGGATTATGGGGATTACAATGCAAGATGAGATTTTGGGTGGGAAACAGCCAAACCATATCAGTTACATCTCTCTTTCCTTTGGTTATCTGCCTACCAAAAGGAAGGGTGAAATTTCATTTCTCTCTCTGCTGTGAAAGATGGTTAGTAGTAGGTAGGGGAAGGTGTAGTCTGAGATTATCTTCCTATACACTGGTAGTGTAACGAATTCAGGGGAAGTAAGCCTGCTGCTGTTGTTGACTTAAGCCATGTGTCTACAATCAATGTTATCAGGAATAAATATATTTCTCCATCTGCCTGGTTATTGTATCTATCTCTGAAAGGGTTTTCCAATTCAGACAGAGAAGAGAGGGAGGCTATATATTTACCTTCTGAAACCCCAACTGCCAACCAGTGAGGAAGAGAGGAAGAACATTCCAGGCAGAATAGAATGCTCTTATTCCAGAATGGCTTAGCTTATTTGAATGTTATACGAAGTTGACATGTTCATTCCTTTGTAGCTCACTACTAGGTGAAGATCAGATTGAGATGAAACTTGAAGTTTTTAACCTCGCTCTTATATTTTGTAACACATATTTTATAAGTGTAACCTGTAGGGAGTCACTGGTAAGAGCCATTTTTAGAAGAGGATAAGATTAGAGAAAGAATGCAAGAAAAATAAATGGACAATAGTGCAAAATACAGCAGAGGGGTTGAATGAAAAAATGACTGTTCATTGGTGTTGGCAGTAGGGAGGCCTTTGGTGATATTCTTGAGAACAGCTTCAGGAATAAAACCCTAATTTTATATTATACAAGTATAATAGTTTGAATAATAAATTATATAATATAATAATAATCTAATAATTATAATAGTTTATAATAATTATAATACTTTGAACAATAAGTGAGAGGTGAGAGAAAAGGCAGATGGAGAGTAGACTTCTTTGAGGAAGCTTAGATGGGAGGGAGAGAAGAGGAAATTTTAAGTAGCTACAGGGGAACAAAAATAACTTGGTATTTGTTGTTTGTTTTGCCTTTTTAAAAAAATATTAAATAAATGTGAATATATTCCTAAGCAATAGAGAAAGCCAGAAGCAATGTTGAAAAGATTAGAACAAGAGAAAAGAAGAACTAAACTCTGGATCAACAGAAGGAGGCTGAGTCTTGTGCTGGGACAAAACCCTCTCCCTGTGGTCTGCAGGAAAGAGAGGCAGGTGGTGTGGATGCACACCTGCATCCCTAACCCAGTAATTATTAACTTGTCAGACTCTTCTCCAGTGCAGCTCACAAGCTGAACACACTATACATACTTTTAAGTGTTGAGATGGAACTTGAATCCTTGCTTGAAGAATATGTAATAAGTATTATTCCTCACAATTTAAACCCATGTCATGTTGTAAATCTCCACTTGCTCTCCCTCCAGGATTTAAAAAGAAATGTCTTTGTGTTTTCTGGATGCTTTTTTCTTTTTTAGAAAAAAAATTCAATAGTTTTTGAGGGTACAGGTGATTTTTAGTTACGTATATGAGTTCTATAGTGGTGAATTCTGAGATTTTAGTGCAGCTGTCAGCTGAGCAGTGTACAGTGTAGCCAATATGTAATATTTTGTTTCTTTCTGAATATGATGGCTTTGCATAGTGGCTCTCGAAGTGATCACAGTGAGGATGGCAAGTAGGGGGTGAGGTCTCATCAGTACATGTCTTTGAAATTGCTTTCCATGACTTCCGTAGTGAAGAGCTATTGACTTGGAAGCTTCCACAATTAAGAATTTCTTTTCCTCTCCATGATAGGCCTAATTTTGATCTATTCTCAATCCAAGACAATTTAGATACTATCCATGGTGACTATAGTCACCCTGTTGTACCATCAAATAGTAGGTCTTATTCATTCTTTCTAACTATTTTTGTACCCATTAGCCATCTTCCCCACCCAACTCCCTACTACCCTTCTCAGCCTCTGGTAACCATTCTTCTACTCTTTGTGTCCATGAGTTCAATTGTTTTGATTTTGTATCCTACAAGTAAGTGAAAACATGAAATGTTTATCTTTCTCTACCTGGCTTATTTCACTTAACATAATGATTTCCAGTTCCATGTGTGTTGTTGCAAATGACAGTATCTCATTCTTTTTTATGGCTGAATAGTCCATTGTGTATATGTACCCCATTTTTTCCCTTTCATCTGTTGATTAACACTTAAGTAGCTTCCAAATCTTAGCTATTATAAACAGTGTTCCAAAAAACATTGGAGTGCAGGCATCTCTTCAATATACTGATTTGCTTTCTTTTGTGTATATGCCAAGCAGTGGGATTGTTGGATCATATAGTAGCTCTATTGTTAGTTTTTTGCGGAACCTCCAAACTGTTCTCTATAGTGGTTTTACTAATTTAGATTACCATCAACAGAATACAATGATTCCCTTTTCTCCACATCCTCTCCAACATTTGTTATTGCCTGTCTTTCAAATACAAGCCATTTTAACTGTGGAGAGATGATATCTCATTGTAGTTTTGATTTGCATTTCTCTGATGATCAATAATGTTGAGCATCTTTTCATATGCCTGTTTGCCATTTGTGTATCTTCTTTTGAGAAATGTCTATTCAAATCTTTTGCCCATTTAAAAATTGGATCATTAAATCATTTTCCTGTAGAGTTGTTTGAGCTTCTTATCTATTCTGGCTATTAATCCCTTGTCAGATGGGTAATTTGCAAATATTTTGTCCCATTCTTTGGGTTTTCTCTTCACTTTGTTGATTGTTTCCTTAGCTGTGCAGAAGTTTTTTTAACTTGACATGATCTTATTGGTCCATGTTTGCTTTGGTTTCCTGTGCTTGTGGGGTATTAGGGCCACATTTTGGAACCTCTGGAAGAGTTGGTGGGACTATGGTGACCTCATGATGCTCACTGAATCTTGTTTCATGTAACATGAGATCACTATCTTCTTTCTCACAGTTGTAGCATAGGTAACAGGTATATTTTTATTTTGTCATAGAAACATAGAAAGCTAGTTGCTAGACTCTCCCTAAAATCTCCCAATCAAGAGATTGTTTAGGGACTTCATTTTCTTTTACTTCAGCATATTTTATCTTCTAGGAGAGGGACACATGGTTGTATAGCCTAAGGTCAAAGGAAAAGAGTTTCAGACTATTAATTACATCTGCTTCCCAGAAGGGTTACCCACTGATATTGAAGGGCCCTAAAGAGCTTTTTTTTTTATTATTTACTTAAATCACCTGGTACTTGGATGTGCTTATGGGTCTTTTCTGAACAGTCCTCAATGCTCCACTTTAGCAAGCCATCTCTGGGTCATAGCCTTTCAGCTTGCTTTTGTGTATATTATAAACATACATATATAATGGAAACATACTGTCTTTGTGTGCTGGTATGAGACCAGGAGGAAGGCCTCTGTGTCTTGCTGGTATTCTTTCCCAAACAGTTACCACACTGTTATTTGTCTTTACTGTAATGCCTCATTTCTATTTAAGAAACAAATGAATATACTGTTGTCACAGGATCCTTGGGGTGTCACTTCTCTAGCCAGAAACCTCTGTTGTTGAGGGTACCTTCTGCTTGAATATTGCTTGTGCCCACTGAGCTTGTTCTGCCCACTCAGCCTGGCAGGCTGTGCTCAGCTTGCACTACCGGCCTGGATCCCACACTTGCCATTGGTGAGCCAGGCATGAAGCAGTGAGGGGTGTGTGGGTGAGCGAGTGTGGGGTCCAGCCACTGTGCAGAGCCAGCCACGCCAGCTGCTGTGACAGGGCAGGCAGCTCAAGGTGCTGGGCACAGGTGTCAGCTCTGTGCGAGGCTGCAACTGGACCAAATGTACCACATGTGGTTTCTGCTGCAGGCACCTGTGTCTGGACAAGGGAAATGCAGTGGCACCCAGAAGCTTGGAGATACCAGAAACTGCAGAGCTACAGAGGGTGCCACAGCCCCGGCATGGGGAGCCCCTAGGTCTGGGGTCCCTATAGGGCTGCAGCTCTTCCCTCCTTCTTGTCGCCTACAGCATGGTGAGTGGGGGTATGCGTTTCAGCCCTGTTTGTGTTACAGCTCTTTTAGTCCTGCCATTTGGTGGGTCCTGAGTTGTTGTCCCACATCCAGGAAAAGGAGGCATGTGGACAACTGGAGGGTGAACAAGGTGGCAGGAGCTTCACTGAGCTACAGAACAGCTCTCAGGAGACTCATAGTGGGTAGCTCCTTTCCACAGGCAGCTTGTCCTGATGAGTGTCCAGCTCTTAGTGGAGAGGAGACCCTCAGTAGTTAGCTCCTTTCTGCAGGCAGTTCGTCTGGATGAGTCCAGGAGACCCAAAGTAGATCGTTACCTCCTGCAGCTGGTAGTCTGGAGTCTGTTAGAGTCTGGCTGAGTCCAGGGTTTTTATGGTCTCAGAGGGAAGACGCGCCTGCTGATTGGTCCATGCGCGGCCATGAGCAGGCTGGAAAAAGTACTATAAATCCTAACTCCTGGCAACTGACTCCAGGCTTGGAGCCTGAACCCCAGGCTTCAGACTGTCCCTGGCTTGAAGGTGGGGTTTTACCAGGGACCCACCCCTTTCTGCTCAGGAACCTATCATCTGCCTCCCACCATCAACATGTCATCCAGGGCATGCAGGCTGTTAATGCCAAGGGGCACCTGCAGGCCTGTGCTGAGCCTCCCTCAGCCCTGCTGGCTTCCCTCTCAGTTGTCAGCACCCAAAGTTAGAAGAGGAGGTGAGGCAGCAGGGGGCTGTTGTATTAGTGCCACTCAAGCGCATGCACACCTGGCGGGTTGCAGTAGTGCCTGGGCTCAACCACATCTTTGCTCTGCACTGGAGTGGGCACTGGGAACAGGGAGTGGGAGCAGGCACTTCTGTGCCTATGGGGACAGGGTCTTCCCAGTCCCTGGAGAGTACAGGGATCCCGGGGTCCAGAGCTGTGGCTGGGCAGCTGTAGTTGTACCTGGGAGCATGAGGTTACCACCCCACCAGCTTGGTAGGGGTCAGGGTTCCCACCTGTTCCTGGCCCCAGCTAGCTCCACGGAGTGTGCAGCCCCAGCCACGTGTCCCCCGCTGCAGCTGACATCCCACAGTGGCCTCTCCAGATGTGCTGCTGCTGCCATCACTGTTGACTTTTAACACTAGGTTTATTAATCTGAAAACCAGTAGGCCTTATTTAGAGGCTTTCTTGCCTCTGACTACCCTCATTCTCTCTAACCCCCATCCAAGTTGCCAGTAACCAAAAGGCAAATAGATGGCAAGTAGATAAATTGTAAGTGATTAATTTTGTATGACATCTTTATTTTAGTCATGTTATTACCTGATGGCTATTACATGTAGGCTTCACACTCTTAAAAATGTCAGCATCTTGGTTTCTTTTATAATCTTTTATAAAAGTATCAGACTACAAGGGGTCTCAAGATTTTTATTCTTATTTCTACCACTCTTCAATGTATAATACTGTCACATTTGAGCCAATAAGAATTTCTTGAAAAACTTTGGATATATAAGGGCCAGGTTTTAGTTAAACCTCAATTTACTTCTCTCAGTTTAAATAGAGAGAAAATAATATCTCTAGAATTCAAAATTATGCTAGTAATATGTTATTTCCTTGGATTTTGCAAATGAGTGCTTATTTTGTCCCACATATTTTACTCAGGATTGCAAAACGAAAATATTCAAATATTAAATAACATATTACTAGTAAGTTATTATTTTAGAAAGTAGTACCTAATTTTTACATCGGATCTCTTTTTTATCTTAAAAAATTTTTTTTTAGCAAGAACAACAAACCAGGTAAATCCATGCTTTATTACTTATACACATAGACATACTTGTTTATGCACGTGTCTAGATATGGAATTTATATCATTCTAGACATGGAATTATATCTAGATTTTCCTAGAGGAACCGTGAATGTCTCCCCCAAAGGTCACATGTTGGAAACTTAATCCTCAATGTTACAGTGTTGAGAGGTGGGACTTTAAAAGATAATTGGGTCATGAGGGTAGAGTGTACTAATGCTGTCATTGCAGGAGAGGGTTAGTGATTACAGGTGTGAGTTCCTAATAAAAGGATGAGTCTAGACCCCCTCCCCCCTCTCTCTCATGAATTTTCTTTTGCCCTTCCACCTTCCACCTTCTAGCATGGGATGGTGTAGCAAGAAGGCCCTCTCAAGATAGAGACCCTTTGACCTGGGTCTTCTCAGCCTCTAGAACTGTAAGAAACAAAATCTTGTTCTATATAAATTATCCAGTGTGTGATATTCTGTTATTACAATACAAAATGACTAAGACAAAGCCATACAAAATGACTAAGACAAAGCCTTACAAAAAAGTTAAATTTTTCTGGGTTTTGGTTGGATTTCTGCTGTCAGTCACAGATTTATTCTCCAGAGAATAAATATGTTTTCCCCTCAACCTGCAGGTGTCCTTTTCTCTTATGTAAACCTTAAAATGAAAGCTTCAGATGGTACTTTTAAGAACATTCTTAGTGTTTTAAAAAAATCAATGTTGTACAGATTTAAGATGCAGTTGACACTTTGGCTCCATCAGAGAACCGACAGCAGAAAGGTATCAATTTTACTTGTTCAGTCAGAGACACTGCAAAATGAAAAATTGCCTTTCCAGTTCTACTGTGAATTTGTGAATATAAAATGGCCTTCAAAGGAGGGAAGCTACTTGTCTTCATTTAACAACTGATGTCTCAGGATTATATGAATTTGTTATTCTGCTTGAAATAAATTTTCAAAGTATCTCTGTGGTTAGAAATCAGTTACAGAAATTCTGCCTGATTATTTTTCTTTCTCTTTAGTTAGGAGAAACACTAAATGAACTCTAATAGCTGCATAGCAAGAGCCAATAAATAATATGACTATAATTCACATTTTCTTTACTCAACCTTTATTTTACCTCAGTAGCAACCTGCTTAACATTTAACCTACTCCTTAACCTATTTCTATCTTTTCTTTTGCTAAGAATACAGATTTTTGGTGATTATGAGGCCACTCTTTGCTTCTTTAACAATTTCTGTATCTGGTTGCCAGGCCATGTTGCCTGAATCTCAAAAGCATTTGAAGGGCTAAGAAATCTATAAGATGGAAAGCACCATTTTCTTGCTTGCTATCAAAATAATTAACTTGCATGGTTTAAACACTGTATTTTACTCTTATTTATTGCAAGGAATAAACATGATGAAATATATTTCATCATTATTCCATTAGCATTACAACAATTATTTGCTTGCAAACATTAACTTTTTTTTTGGATCAGCAAAATGAAAATTCTATGCTTTCTAGAAGGCTTGTTGTTTCGAGATTAGTTTTACAATGTATCATTATGGAAGTTTTGGCAGTTACAGGCTCAAATAGCCAGATATAATAATATTTGGGCAGACTTTACTATGCCCAAATATTTGTGTTTGTGTAAAAAAATTGTGTTTGTGTAAATATTTAGATCATGACTTTGAGAATATAGCAAAATTGAAGTGACTGTATTGATATAAATCTGGGTTACTTATGGAATGTTTCTGGTTTGTTTTGTGTTGATTTCCTTGTATCTTTAGCTATAAAGTATAACAGAACTTCCAATATGGGACACAGTCCTGAGAATTACTATTCAGATCTAATACACAATGTACCCAATGTATTGTATGTTTTACTTATTGCAATTTTTCTGCATTTCTAATAAATAGTCCCTCACTTGATGATTTCCTAGCATGAGGCAACTCAAAAAGATAAATCCTTGCAAATAATGTTAACCCCACAAATCAGCAAAGCATCAGTAAAATAATATATTTTCATTCTTTCCCAGCTAAATATATATATATATATCCATCCTCACAAGAACAGTTACATTAGTGTGTAAAAGACATGGTTTTGAGATAAGTCAGCTGCTATCTGGAAAAATAATAAAATTGATTCCATACTTCATACCAGAATAAATCATAAATAGATTAAATATTTACATTAAAATATGATACTCTAAAAATGCATGAAGAAATCATGAAGTAAATATGTTTTACTTATTGTAGGAAATTATAGGAAAGGTTATTGTAGGAAAAGTTTCTCTAACAATGTAAAACTCAGAATACCAAAAGAAAATATTGACAAATTCTATCATATACAAATCAAAAATGTCATATGGCAAATCTGACATAAGAAAATGCAAAATACAAATAAGTGTAATACATTATTTGCAAGTCATACTATGAGAAAAGGATTAATTTTCTTAATATTAACAGCCTGAGAAAAATAGATAAGGAAAAACTAATCACTCAACATAAAATTGTACAAAGGGTATGCACTCATAGTTCACAGAAGAAATATAAATGTCTCTTAAAATATAAAAAAAAAATTACCTTATTGCTGATAAGATCAAGGCAATCTAACAAGACTAAAAATAACAGCCTTTCACTTATAAGAAAAGCAAAGGCACAAAATTTGGTAACATACTATGTTGTCAAGGACATGTGAGGAAACAAGTGTTATCACCCATTGCTGTGATAAAACAAAATCGTGTACCTCTCATAGCAGTTTGACATATTTACCAAAATTACTAGTGCATATACCATTTAGTCTAACAGTTTAACATCTGGGAATTGATCTTATACTTCTCCTCTTATATATCTGGAATGATGTACACATAAGTCTATTTATTGTGATAATGAAAGATTATACACAATCTAAATGTTCATCAGTTGTGGATAAGTTTTATAAATCATGATATATATATATATGGAGAGAGAGAGAGAGAGAGAGAGAGACAGAGAGACAGAGAGACAGAGAGAGAGAGTAAAATGCTATGTAGTAATAAAAATAATAAAGTAGCTCTTTGTGTACTATTATGGAAAGACCACTAAGACATAGTAACTAAAAACAGCAAAGGGAAGAACAGTACTATAGTATATTGCCATTTTAGTAATAAAAGGAAAATGTGTGTTTGTATGTGTGTGTCCATGTGTATAAATGCATAAGCTCTCTTACAGAATATTCCTAGTAAAAACCTAAATATACTGTTGCTTGTGAGGATAGGAACTGAACAGATTGGAGATCGAAAGAAATTTTATACTTCATAAATTTTGAACTGTAAAATATGTTTTTTACAAAAACATTAAATTGAAGACACATACACCACAGGCACACTCTCAGACATATAGAAATTCAGTTCATTCAACTTTTAAGACTCTTAACTTTGAATCTAATTCCATATTTATAGCAGATTAGTATTAAGCTTTACATGACTAGGAGATTTACAAAATCCTGTAAAGATAGTTAATCTCTCATTAGAAATAAACATAGAGAATGTATCTGAACAAATCTTTTTACATTCCTACATATGCTAAAACATTTCTAATAAATACCACTGTATTCACTAAACACCAAATTTAAGGACAAGTTTCTTCACTAAGAGAAAGATAAGGGGGATTTTAGTAAAGAAGTTGGAATAAAGAGCTGGACAATAAGGTCAAAGATAACACTTGGAGGAGGGTTACATGTTCAGGTATATCCCAGACCCCCCATGAGTGAGGTAGATTAGGATTCACAAGAGAAGAATTCCATTTCTGGCTTTGCCTTTAACTAACTATCTAATCTTGGGTATTTTGTTTCACCTTTTTAGATCTCAATTTGAAGAAAGGAATATTAGAGATGATCTTAAAGATCCTCTCAATAATTTAATATTTGGTTATTTTTATGTAAATAATTGAAAGTTTTATCACTTTATACAATGCAAGCATTATGCATCTTATATTTTGGTAAGTTTTATAAGATATGATCAATGCCATTAAAAACTATCTTTGTATTAACCTTCCTAATGGAGCATATAATTAACTAATGACAGCCTAATAGTGATACTTTAAAAAAAATATTAAAATAGAAGACATTTGTTTAACATGTAAATGCTATGTGTGTGGCCTAGTGTTTGGCATGTATAGTAACTTCTATGGGTTATAAAGGACATGAATACTAGTTGCTTTAATTTTCTGTCTGAGAGAAGCTTAAATCTGATCTTCCGGGATTTGTTAAAGAGGACGTCAGAGAAATGGTGACACGTGGGTTTTGCAGCATACATAGAAGCATTAAAGAAAGAATTAGAGGCAAGTTTTAAGTAGGCATGGCCAGCAATGTTAAAGAGGCATTGAAAGATCAAACATATGGGGACATGCAGTTAATTTGGAATTTATGAAATATTAAGTGTGACCAAGGAGTGGTAGGAAATGAAACTGGAAAAGTTAAGTAAGGTCAGATAACAAAGAGCATGATTTGCATTCTAACAGGCTTGGATTTATTCTTTTGGCAATGAAAAGCCATTGAAGTTTTTAAAGTAGGTGACTAATAGGTGTTTTAGATAGATTATTCTGAGTATTATTGAGTAATGACTTAGAAAATAGGAGACTGGAGGCACCTGGACAGATTAAGACATTTGGCAATAGTGGGTAGACAAAGGATGATAAATGTTTGAACGAAAATAAAATCAGAATCTTGAAACTGCATGTGAGGGTGTGTGGTTGTTCTGGTGGTGTGAGCTTATTTTATCTAAATTCTGGAGATTAGAGAGAATCCAATGACATCTCAGAAACAATAGCACTTTATTTCATTCTTTCTCGCTCTCTTTTGCACTCTGCCAAAAGTTAAAGCCCTTATTCAAGTATTCCTTTCTGTTTTTATTATTTCCCTTAAAACGTTTCTCAGTATGATTGTCTATACTATTTTAAAAAATTTTACTTTCTGCTAATTATCTAAGAGAAAAATTTAATTTTTCATGTTCTATAGTCTCTAAAACTAGTTGTAGACAGTGTTCTCTTTAACAAATGCAGTTGAAAAAACAAAGTATGGGGAGCAGAACAAGCTGAAGAAGTGGCTGTGGAGATTAGACCTCAGGGTTAAATGGAAGAGTACATTTATTTAGCCTTTAGGAGCCCCATGTGGCTGACCTGGGCACCAGTATTATTCTCCCTGCTTTCTCTTGCCTTGATGACATACAGGAGTAATGCTGATTCCAAAGAAGGAAGAAGGGGTGCTTCTGACCCATATTAAAATGAAAAATTTTAAGCAACATTTTGAATTCTTTTATCAGAACTCTATTTTGTAGGCTTTTTCTTTTTCCAAAAAAATTTCCATCTTAACGAGAATCTGTTAGCTCAGCAACCAGAATGTTAAACAAACTATTTGTCTAAACCTCTAAAACCTATGCAATGGAATTGTGTTGAAATGTTTTCCCAATTAGAAGTTGGTTCTTTAGCTTAATTTCAGGTGCGAGAATCTTTCTCACAGTAAGTGGGACTACAAAAACAGTTTAAGCATTTAAAGTTATTTTAATCAATTCTGGCTTCTAGTACATATTCAACACATTATTTCTTTTTAAGGGAGTTATTAAGTTGGGCTATAAATCTGAAATTTAACTAAGCTTTTTTTTTTTTTTTTCTGCACTTGGTGCCAGAAAAAGTGTTTCTGAATCTTCTTTCTTTGTGCTCCTTCCAGCTACTTGTAAAGGGTCACTGTGTTCCTAAGTTGAATATTTCCTTCCCAATGTTGATGCTCCCCTAAGAGAAAGAACAACAATGTTTGAACTTCAGAGATGGTTTTGCTTCTTGTTTCCCACCCTCTCTTCCCCATCTGTGTAATGTGGTACTTTTTGCTTGATTGACATTAAACAAAAACACACATGATTAACGATCTTTCTCTGTTGCTCATCCTTTGATATTTTGAGTCAGTCAGCAGCATGTTCTTAGTGCATGAAGGTGGCTCATTTGCCCACTGGGATCTTTAGTCAACTGGCACCAATAGAGCTAAACATTTGCATTGAATATCAGCATTATTTTCTCTCAATACCAACGACCACTCATTTAAAAATTAAATTGTTGACCTTATGGGTTAAAAAATAGAATCCAACAAATTACATTCTACAAAAAATTAATTCACCTTGGTTATTTGAGGATTTGTTATACTTCAGGGTCACTGTGGATATCGTTTATACTATTGCTAGATTAGTTATGGGAGACAGCATTGACTTAGCCTATAAGGAAATAGTTATTGTTTTTTAATAGCCTCTGTGGTTGATATATCGTTCATAATTGAGAGTGAAGGTAAGCAAGAACTGCAACTCAAACATGTTTAAAAGTAAGGATTTTAAAAATTTCACTGATAGTCCATTAGTTGAGAAGTTTCTAGATGTGGTGTTATTAGTACTTAAATTATGTCATTTCTAGGTTAATTTTCCTTCTGTGCTGCCCTCAAGGTCAATGTCATATGAGGGTGGGGTCCCTCCTTATAGTGGCAGGATGGCTACCAGTGGTCATTGAGTTTAAATGGTTCCTTGTTAATGTCTAGCAGGAGACATTTCTTTTTCCTAGGAGACTGCAAAACTCTTCACATGTATGCCATTGGCCAAAATTGGTTTAGGACTCTTCATCTCTGAGTCAGAATAATTGATACTGGAAAGTCATCCATTGATTACTTTAGTGGTAGAATCTTCACATAGGAAGGGTAGCTGTGACATCTAAACAGGTGCTCACTACAAGTCTAGGAATAACAAGGAGAACATATATATACAATTAGATGTTTTAGTGTTATAATTTTCTTTAATTACTTTTAGCTTGGCACAGCCTGGAAGAATTCTTCCCTAAATGGTTCCCACTTCTGCCATCATATACAAGAAAATTTATATATTCTGAATAAAATTAAACCCGTATCCTTTGGGATCGGAATATGTAACCTCAGCAGACAACAGCTTAAACTACAAGATCTAGCTGCCCCTCCTCATGTGGTATCGGACTTGATTTCTTTAAGGAAGCCAACAAGTATCTTTACAAAGTCCTGGAATTTCTGGACACTGGTGTGTATGTGTGCACATGTGCATACACACAATACTAATTGAGGGAGAGGGATGTCATTGGCTTCCTGTAATTTTTTATTTGTCACTCTGACATTGACATGTATGTTTTGGGTTTCATATGGTATAATTTCATAACTCTAAAAATATCAGAGTATATTGGACATAATAAGTATGGTTCCAGCTTATTTATCACAATAAACCCATGATAAAATTGATTATGTATAGTTTTTTCCACTGAGTAGAAATCTAAGATTGATTCAGACATGAAATACAGCATTTGTTTATCCAAATAAGCAGGCAATGATTGAGGTCCGATGAAAGAGAGTCCTGTAGGAAAAACTGCATACACATTTCAAATTACTTGATGGAAAAGCCATGTAAAAAAATCACAAAAATAATTTTAATTACTGGAGAACTAGAGAGCATGAATATACTTAAAATTAGATGCTGTGATGATCCTATTTGAACACTGCTATCATCCAAATAAAAATATAACTTTATTATCAGTAATTCCTTTTAGAAATACAAAAACATCTAGTCAAAAAGATGAGCCATTAAGTGTCATGAGCCATTCATACATTTCAAAATCTTAAAATAAATATATGCTAAATGCTTTATTTAACTCATTAAAAATATTCTCCCCCATCTCCATTTCACCTTTGTATAAAGTCCTCCAGAATGGAACGATTCAGTGGTTACTATATATAAAGATTTCAGAGAAATAAATGCAATGCTTAGGAATATTCTTCTGGTGAGATACATAAGGCATACATGAAGAAATAAAATGATTTTGGTAATTATGATTAAAAGTAAATATTTTTTCAAAAAAGTCATACAGATAACAGATTTTATTCAATTAAGGAAGAGCTTAAAAATTTGTTTTAATAGCATGAATTTCATGTTAAGTGTTCATACACACACACAGAAAAAGGATACAAGGAAACTGTTGGAGGTGATGGATATGTTTATTACCTTAAATGTGGTGATGATATCATGGCTATATACATATGTCCAAACCCATTAAATTGTATACATTAACTATGTGCAGTTTTCTCTAAATCAATTATACTTAAAACTGTAAAAAAATACTTTTAAAAAGTGATTTTATATTTATATTTGTGCCAGGCACTATTTTTGGTCCAAAGATAGGACAGATAATGTTCCTCTTATTATGAAGGTAAAATTGTAGTTGGAGGGAGGGACACAGATAATATAACTGTTTATTAAATGGCCAAGATAATTTCATATAGTGATAAATGTAATAAAGCTGAGAACAACCCCCAACTGAAAGCCAGCAAGAAAATGTGGACCTCTGCCTTAAAATTGCAAGAAATTGAATTCTGCCACCATGGTCCTTGAAGCTTGTTCTTTTCCACAGCCTACAGATATGAGCCCAGACTAGCTGACACCTTGACTTTGGCCCTGTATAACCCTATGCAGAGAACGCAGTTCTGGCACACTGGGCCCAGACTTCTGACATAAGGAAACTGTGAGACAATAAATGGATATTGTTTTAAGCTGCTGAGTTTGTGGTAATTTGTTATGACAATGATAGAATATCCTTCAGTGCTAACCAGCTATGAATGCTTTCTGTCTCCTGGGTCAGCCTGCCATATAGGCAAGGACTTCTGCTTTGGTCTTAATAATATATTCTATTCCTATCTGAGTTATCGAAATATTTACCATCCAGGTTGCTGCAGCCACAGCATTGTCACTTCAGAAAAATATTCCCTGATAAACTAAACACTTGAAAATTTAACCATTTCACTCTTTGTAACACTTGCTAGCATGTAGCATTAGCTAGCACCTAGCATTAGCTAGCACCAGTCTATCTCTTCCTATTACATGACAGTGTAATACAAATGCAAGTCAAACTGATCGTCTGGTAAAATGTCAAATCTTGCAAAAAACAAAGATTGAATAAAGTTGGTGGAAGTGATATTGGAGACTTGTCAAATAACAATCTTGCAGAATCAGACCATTTACTAATGAAGAAGGAAGAAATTGGCCAGGATGGTTGTGGGATAGTGTATACACTCTAAGTGACCTTCCCCGCTGCTACTAATGGCTAAACATATGCAGTTAACCAACATTTTCTGTAGTGTGCTTGAATCCTCTGATTCATATGCTAGTATTTTTGCATCCTTTTTGGATTCTATTTTTTTATTTGTGCCCCATCCAATCATCACATCTTCCTAGGAACGGGATTCCGTGAAGCCTAGTCCTTTGGATTCCTGTTTCCACTTTGGCTCAGTAGTGTCTCCACTAATATATTCTGTCAGTTACAGAAGGAAGTTCCTGTTGCCGAATTGGACATCCTTGTAGCAAACATTGCCTGAATCAGGCATGATCTTGCCACACCCCTTAGACAACGCGGCAGTCTCCACTGGCTCTCCTTGTCTGGCCAGCTTCTGTTGCTGGGAAAATTGCCCACGTGTCTTCCCTAGCAAGCCCTGGGCAGCTGAGCTGCACTCAGTTCCAGCTTCCTCTCCCCTTCCCAACTATTCCTGTTACCAAGGTCCTAAGATAGCTTACTAGAAACCAAGACTAAGTGATTATCAATGTGATCTTTTGGAAATGCTTTTAATTTTTCCAGGCCAGATAATTTTTGCTTTGATGTACTTGGAATGTTTTCCAGAGATGCAGGCATTTCCTTTTGTGGCAAAAGCTGAGAGTTGTGTCCTATCTCTTCTATCCTCCCCCTACCCCATCCCCTGCATGAAATAGAGCTACCCCACCCTCAGTAGCACTAGGACATGCGGCCACCCAAAATACATATGTCTAGTCTCCTTTCAGCTTGGTTTGATGATGTGACTAAATTCTAGCCAATAGGAAATAAGGATCTGTTTCACCTTGGAGAAAATGTCCTTAATAGGATAGAGCATGCTCCTATGTCTATTTCTTTTTCTCACTGATTAAAATATAGACATGACAATTGGATCTGGGTCAGCCATCTTGGATCACAAGAGAGAAACAATAGGACAAAAGGAGCTTGGAGTTCCTGATGATTTTGGAACTACTAAAATAGCCCTGGACTTCTTAAGTTTTTATAAGACAGAAATAAATGTCTGTTTTGCTTACACCATGGATATTTTGGGTTTTCTGTCACTCAGTCAAATCTAATCCTAAGTAATATATTCTGTACTGCAAATTCACTTAAGATTTTAGCAAATAAAATGAATAACAAATACAATATATTAACATTTATATTTTAAGAGGAAAAAAGAAACCCATAATGTTGTCATTCTAATAGCTCTATTTTCCAAAAATACCATTGTTGTTTTACTCAGGTATGTATCTTTCTTGGATTCAAGTTTTTTTTAGAAAATTTTATTCTAGCTTTGTAACTAGAAAGGCTATTGTGCATTATTCTATAACTGATTTAGAGCTCCCAAATCCTACTTTCTCTTTGATTTACCTATAGATATCTCTCTCCCTCCCTGCCTCCCTCTCTTCCTTATTTTCTTTTTTTCTTTGTTGGTGCTGCTGCTTTCCTCCTCCTTCTCTTGCTCATTTTACTCCTCTACCTTCTCCTTCTTCTTCATATATTGAGAGAAATGTTTTGGGTCACTTTTAAGATAATCTGTTTTAAAAAAGGAAAATAAACCAGTTTGTGGGTTAATATCTGTGGGACTCAATTTCAGCATTCTTGTACAGTGCTTTAAAGACCCCTTCTCTGCCTTGGCAGAGATCCTGGTCCAAGCATACAATGCATAGCTATTTATAAGTGAAGGGTTGTTGTTACCCTTTCACTCTTTTGAAGGATTAAGTCCTAAGAACCTTAACGGATACTCCCTTTGGGTACAATTATGTTGTTTACTAAACACTTCTTTTTTGTTTCAGCTATACTAGATGGACCTTGAAGAAAGATCTCTGCCATGTGTATTTCTGAGCACCTCAAAGAATAGTTTATTTGTTATTCAAGAAGGCAGATAGGCAAGAGAAGTAGCTTCTGAGCATGGGCCAAACTCTGCTCTGTTGTATATCCTCATCCTTCAACTGCCAAGGCCTAGGGAAGGGATGGCACCACATGGCAGACAGTGTGCTCAGGTCATTTTTAGCACCTTGTCTGAGACTTCAGGGACTGCCAAGAGTAGCATGACTAATACCTCTGTTGGAACAGTGTATTACATAGTGTGTCTATGTGTTTGACGTTGTACTAAAAACACCAGTCAATACAATAGAAAATGTTTTCAACAGTAACTGTAAAAATCACAAAGTGTTCTTCACTTAGATGGTTACTTCTGATATGAACATTTGGTAAATAAAATGAAGACAAAACATTTAATCTAATTCAAAGAAAGACTTTCCACGGAGAAACTTAACTTTGTGAGGCATAGGCTTGTAACTCTCTGATTAATTTCCTTAATCCTGGAAAAGAATTTAGAATACCTTGTTCAGCTATGGTTTGTATGCGTCATAGTACACTCACTCTCACTTATTTTTGCTAGCTCTTTTAGGACAAGTTAAAAGCTTAGTTGATATAGTGAAACAAGTGCATTTTGTGTAGCTGTATGGTTTGGCTGCCAGACAGATGGATGAAAACTTACAATAGATGAGAAAGTTGTTCAATGGGACTAAAACATTACTGTCACAAAGTACAGAAATTCAGATTCAGCTGTCTGCTAGTCTGCCCCCACCTTCAGCCCTGGTTTCTAGTAGAGGGAATAGAAGAAGCGAGGTGAGACTAGTGATTCTGGGTAATCTTTTATCCCTTAAATTCTACGCTGCATGACTCATCAGATAAAATTGCTCCCAAGTATTCCTCCAAAGGTTTACTCAACCCTATTTTCTTCTGAAAGTAGCAAGCTATGGTGGGAAGAGATCGTTGTAGATTTTTTTTTCTCTCACTTTCTTCAAACTTATCAGTGCTGCCACCTGAACCTATAAACCTTGTTCTATAGGAGAGAAATGATATTAAATGCATTTTGGGAACAGATTTAACAATACCCTCATCCTTCTCAGACAAACAGAAAAATTATTGTGTCCCTCTACTTTCTCCAGGAGACTTAAGCTGAGTAAGGGTCTTCAGAACTAAAGAATCTCAGTCCTACTTGAGAGGCTTCATCAAGAAATGGTCATGTACATGTGGGAATAAGCAAGCATCAGAAATAACCAAAGTTAGAAGGTTTCAATGTTTCTTCTCTTCCACTTTGAAGGGTATTCAGTGGTTCTGTGGCTCCAGAAGGACTCAGTTGTGATTTCAGTGGTCATGATGGTGGCAGGCATGAACTAGTATCATGCCATCTGGGAAAATTGTCCTGACTATGTGTTTATATAATTGATGCCCACCTGCCACCAAAACTGTGAGTTCCCAGCAGTCAAGGATAGTGTCTGTCGTATTCACATTGGTAGCTTCAACACCTAGCACTGTCCTGGCACGTAGTAGGATCTGAATGGATTTTTTTGAATGAATGATTTTAATAGCAAACTGCAGGAGGTTCCTTGAACTCCACAGAATAGCCATTTCTAATACAGCTTCAGACAGGAATGTTGAAATAAATGACAACCATAGGATATAGGCAGTTGCACTTTGTCATGAAAATTTTTTTCCACTTGTTTAGGCATAAATTAGATTTTTTTCCTATAAGAAATGATCAGCCAAGGGAAATCACATTAGCAATATTTAGAAAAATAAGACATACTAGACATGGATGGATTCTTTTTAACTTTAAGTATTAAGAATTGCCATTTAACTCAAACATCTGGTAAGATATATCACTATAAATCATTTTTTGAATAACCAAAATCTTGTTTACTTATATTGCCGTTTACTTTAAGGCAGCTATTCCTCTCTATGGGCCCCATAAAGAGCATCAGAATTTTATGGAATTTATGGTCATTGTAAATACTATCATGTAGCTACTACACATCTTAGCTATACTAGTCTTTTTTAAACTAGTAAAAGAAATAAAAGAGGAGAAAACAAAGCAAAATCTGCCTTTCCTGGCATATTCATCTAAAAGAAACCTCAAACTATTATGAATACTTAACAACAGTGTCTGTGTCTGAAACAGCACAAATATTGCTCTCTGATTTTCGAACTCCCTTTGCTGAACAATCTCTAATTTTCTTCCCATCTCTCACAGCTTGCCTAAGAAGTATTTTTGCCTATAATATCATAATCATGCATTAAACAATTCTATGATTGTTGGCAATTAATATGCATGGTCCCCTCCCCCCCCCTTGCCTTCTCTTCCTTCTATTTTTGATACAGAGTCTCGCTCTGTCACCCAGGCTGGAGTGCAATGGTGCGATCTCGCCTCACTGCAACCTCCACCTCCCGGGTTCAAGCGATTCTCCTGCCTCAGCCTCCTGAGTAGCTGAGACTACAGCTGCGTGCCACCATGCCCAACTAATTTTTGTATTTTTAGTAGAGATGGGGTTTCACCATGTTGGTCAGGCTGGTCTTGAACTCCTGACCTCGTGATCTGCCCGCCTCAGCCTCCCAAAGTGCTGGGATTACAGGCGTGAGCCCCTGCACCCAGACTGCATGGTTTATTTTTCAAGAGTGAGAAACCTTCCCTTTTTTTAATCATGTTTTTTTCTTATTCACACATTTTATAAATAAATATTCAAAGACTTCTACATAAAACTTTAAAAAATATAATTGTACCGTACAGTAGTTTCATCTTTAGTGTTATTAATGAAAATCAATATTGGAATATTGGGATCAGAGCAACACAAATGCTTCCTCCATTAGTGACCCGCAATCACTAAAGATTTGATCATCAAAAAGAGGGAAATCCAGGATATCTCTAGAGATGTTTCCTCTTACAATGAGTACTGCTTCATCTCTTCAGTTGTAATTCTATTTAGACTAAACTTAATAAGGCCTTGATGGTACATGTGAAAGATGAAATTATGTAAATACCTTTGTTAGGCCTAGCTGCTCAAGAAAAGCCTTCCAGCTGAGAAATGGGAGGCATACTCTTCCTTTTCCTTAGTGCTCATGGCAAGTCTAAACCAAGTCCAAACCAAAGCTGAAACAGTGGCAACTTGTAGTTTGCATGATTGTTTATTTGTTTTCTAAGTAAGTAGAAGAAATAAGGTATTTTATAATTCAAAAATTTTAAATTTAGTAGGTTTTGAGAAGGAAAACAGTACAATAAAAAAGATAGGGGAAACAAAATATCATAATATCTGTCCTTGGATGCTTAATCGGACCCACAATCCTTTGTGTGGTATTTCTGAAGGAGCCACTAGCAAGCTTATCAGAACACCAAGTTCTGACAAAATGACAGGATCTTGTCACATGTTCCTGATAAGTGTGTGATCTTGGTCTTATTCTCAAGCTGCTGCAGAACTCGACTGCCATTGAAATGTGCAAAAGAAAAATTTCCTGGCATCTTAAAAAAAATGTCGAAGTCAGTTACTCCACAAGTAAGTCTTACCTCATTTATGAAACAACAACAAAAAAATCTAAATTCTGTTGGTTAGCTGTGAGTAGCTTTTTAGGGCTTATTTATTCAGTACATTCATTTCATTGCTTTCACATGTTAATAGCTATTCATTCACTGTTCCCTCTGAATTGCATCTTAACAAGATTATGCTCCTTTTTCTAATTTATTGAACTAGCATGGAATATATTTATATAAAAATTAGCTGCTTAAATACTTCCTTGATGAAAAACATAGCTGTTTTAATTTTATTATGAATTTTAATCAGGAAAAAAATGACCTTTGAAATTTTCTTCTACCTCATTTTATATTTGTGTGTGCTTGTGCTTCTCTCTCTTTATGTAATTAGACATCTTTATAATTTAATTAAATTTTATATAAAAAACATGTGACTGGACAGTAAAAGTTTGTTTTGAAAGAAAAATCTTAAGGAAACAGTTAATAAATTAATATGACTAACAGAAGACGGCTTGTTTTCTTTGAAAATACTAATTCTTCCAGTGCAGTGCATCTATTTCACAATAAAACATATTCTGGTTTTCTTTTGATTTAGAAAAAAAAATCCTCTGAAGCTAATCCAAAAATGCCCTGTTCTCAGTTTCTTTTGATGCAAAGTTCCAAGCCTTTTGGGGATCTACTGTAATTGTTGCCAGTCTAACAAGTGCCTCTTCATACCATACCCAAAATACCAACTCACAAAAATGGTTCTCTGATAAGAGAAACCAAATTTTTGTCTCCTGTTTGAAGATTACAAAAACCTGTATGACTGGAATGAAGCTTTAAATAAACTGGTGGTCCTTAAAGACTTTAATGTATAAAAGAATGTACCACAGAGTATTGTTAAATGTCTATTTTCAAACCCCAGCTTCAAAGAGGCTGATCCAATAGGTGTGAATTAGGGTTTAGGAATAATTTGTAATGAGTAACCTCAAGTGATTATCATGCTGGCTGTCCCAGGACCACACTGAGAATGCAGAGAATACTTATCAAGTTACTAATGCAATTATTCTTTTCAATGTTAAGATGAAAACCAATTAAGGTCATGTCAACTTTATGAAAGAAATTTGCAGGTTAGTGTGTTTGGTTGTGATTTTTCACACTTACTGCTGGCAGTGAGTTGAAGTTAAAAGATAAACTTTTTTTCTTTTGCTTTTTTTTTTTTTTTCTCACTCTGTTGTCCAAGCTGGAGTGCAGTGGCATGATCTCAGCTCACTGCAACCTCTGCCTCCCAGATTCAAGCGATTCTCCTGCCTCAGCCTTCCCAGTAGCTGGGATTACAGACATGCTCCATCATTCCCTGCTAATTTTTGTATTTTCAGTAGAGACAAGGTTTCACCATGTTGGCCAAGCTGGTCTCAAACTCCTGGCCTCAAGTGATCCACCCCACTCGGCCTCCCAAAATGTTGGGATTATAAGTGTGAGCCGGGCCAGGCACAGTGGCTCACGCCTGTAATCCCACACTTTGGGAGGTCGAGGTGGGTGGATCACGAGGTCAGGAGATCGAGACCTTCCTGGCGAGACCTTCCTGGCTTCCCACCTCTATTAAAAATACAAATAATTAGCTGGGGTATGGTGGCGGGCGCCTGTGGTCCCAGCTACTCGGGAGGCTGAGGCAGGAGAATTGCTTGAACCCGGGAGGCAGAGCTTGCAGTGAGCCGAGATCGCGCCACTGTCTCAAAAAATAAAAAATAAAACAAAATAAAATAAGTGTGAGCCACCACGCCCAGCCAAAAGATAAATTTTGGCCCATTTGTAAATTGAATCATTTGTTTTTTTTTTTTTTTTTTGCTATGGAATTGTTTGAGTTTCTTATACGTTCTGGTAGCTAATCACTTGTCAGGTGGACAATTTGCAAATATTTTCTCCCATTCTGTGTATTATCTCTTCACTTTGTTGATTGCTTACTTTTCTGTGCAGAATTGTTTAACTTGATGTAATTCCATTTGTCTATTTTTGCTTTTGTTGCCTGTGCTTTTGATGTCTTATACAAAACAAAAAAAGTCCATAGGGTTTTCCCAATGTTTTCTTCTAGTAGTTTATAGTTTTACATCTTAGATTTAAGTTTTTAACCCATTTTGAATTGATTCTTCTGTATGGTGAGTGATGGGGTCTAGTTTCATTCTTGTACATATAGTCATCTGGTTTTCCCAGCACATTTTATGAAGAAACTATCCTTTCCCCATTGTATGTTCTTTGCCTTTGCTGAAGATGAGCTGGCTGCAAATGCATGGATTTATATCTGGATTCTCCATTCTGTTCCATTGTTCTATATGTCTATTTTTGTGCCAGTACCATGCTGATTTGATTACTATAGCTTTGTAGTGAATTTCGAAATCAGGTAGTTTGATGCCTCCAGTTCTGTTCTTTTTGCTCAGGATTATTTTGGCTTTTTTTGTGGTTTAATACAAACTTTAGTTTATTTTTCTATTTCTGTGAAGAATGTTATTGATATGTTGATAGGGATTGTATTTAATCTGTAAACTACTTTTGACAGTACTACCATTTTAACAATGTTAATTCTTCCAATCCATGAGCATGGAATATCTTTCCATTTTTTGGTGTCCTCTTCTATTACTTTCATCAGTGTTTTATAGTTTTCCTTGTATAGATCTTTCACTTCTTTGGTTAAATTGATTCTCAGGTATTTTGTATCCTTGGTGGCTATTGCAAATGGGATTGCTTTCTTTATTTCTTCTTTAGATTGCCCACTGTTGGCATATATAAATGCTACTGGTTTGGTATGTTGATATTGTATCCTGCAACTTTACTGAATTTATTTTTGGTGACGTCTTTAGGTTTTTCTAAGTATAAGATCATGTTATGTGTGAATCTGAATAGACATTTCTTAAAAGAAGACATACAAATGGCCATTAGGTAAATGGAAAAAATGCTTAACATCAGTAACCAAATGCAAATCAGAATTACAATGAGATATCATCTCACTCCTGTTAAAATGGCCTTTATGAAAACAAAAAAGAAACAAAAAATCTCAGGCAATAACAGACACTGGTGAGGATGTAAAAAAAGAAGAATACTTGTACACTGTTGGTGGGAATCTAAATTAGTACAGCCCCTATGGAGAACAGCATAGAGGTTCCTCAGAAATTGAAAGATAGAACTACCATAAGATCCAGCAATTCCACTACTGGTCATATTGCTTACAAAAGGGAAATCCAGTATATTGAAAAGATATCTGCACTCCATGTTTATTTGAGCACTAACCATAATAGCCAAAAGGTGGAATAAACCTAAGTGCCCATCAGGGAATGAATGGATAAAGAAAATATGGTCTATACATACAATAGAATATTGTTAATCCATTAAAAAAGCATGAAATCCTGTCATATGTTAGCAACATGGATGGAACTGGAGGTCATTATATTAAATGACATAAGTGAAATGCACAAAGTCAAATATTCCATATTCTTATTCATATGTGTGTGTTTAAACTTGTTTCTCATAAACATAGATAATCAATTTGTGGTTGCCAGAGGCCAAGAAGGTAAGGGGGAGGAGGATTTGAAGAAAAGGTGATTAGTGGGTACAAATATGTGGTTTGATGGAAGAAATAAGAATTAGTGTTAGATAGATCAGTAGAGTAACTATAGTTCACAATAATGTATTTACATTTTGAAAGAGCTAAAAGAGAATAATTCAAATGGTTCTAGTATTAAAAAAAAGAAAACTATTTAAGTGGGTAGATATCCCAGGTACACTATTTTGATGTTTACACTTTATATCAATATATTACATTTTCACATGTACTCCCAAACCATGTACATCTATTATGCATCAGTAAACATTTTTTGAAAAAAGATAAGAAAGACAGAAAACATAAATGTGGTCATCTTAAAATGGAGATGCTTGGCTGTGTGTGTGTGTGTGTGTGTGTGTGTGTGTGTCTGTGTGAGTCTAGTAATGGAAACTTCCCTTGGCTTAACTGGTACTCATAAGACAAAGTAATCCATTTTGTTGCTGTTGTTGATTTATCAGAAAATGTAACATCACAGGGATTATGTTTGAAAATTATAGGTAATTTAAGAAACTAATTGGTAACAAACATTTTCCAATTTGCACCACTTTATCATGCAACTATTCTCCTTAACCCCGAAGATAACTTTTCACTTTTCAATGTTTTTACTTTCAGTGAGTTTTTAATGCCTATTCATCACATCATGACCACAGGGTAGAATTACAAGTCATTTTCCAAGAGAAAGAACCATTGGACCTTAGAACAAAAAGGAAACAAAGCATTTAGTTTAATGGCCATGTTTAACATAAGAATCTGATTTGTTAGAGTCCTTAAGTGTCTGTCTAACTTCCCCAGAAAGCTTAGAGCCTGAAGCAAATGTTTATGTGATATTAATTTATTAAGGAGTACAATCTCAGGGAAGCAGGATGTGGGGGAAGGAGAGAGAAGGAGGGAATGTGTTACCCAGCTGCCTACCACTTGGTACAGATTCAGACGATTAGTTGATTTTGCAGGACCATATTCTGAGAGGGCATATGAACAAATGTTTCTCAAATAAGCCTGTCCACAGGTAGGAGAAGAGATGAATTTCTCCACTGCTTTCTACCTCCCATTGGTCATAGTTTTGCTCCACGGATGTCAATTCTCTTGTATTTCCAGGCTACAAACTTCATCACTGACAGAATTCCTGGGGCAATAAGTCAGAGTTCTGTAGTGCAGTCAGGAGACTAACAACTTTGTGCCCTATGAGGTTAGTAGCTCAGTGGAGCTGGATGGAGCTCATGCAGAGTTTTTGGCCATGGCAATGCCTCAGATAAAACAAGTGGCCAAGGGCCTCAGAGATAAGCAAGGCTCTTAGGAGGCAGAAAGGAGGGAGGTTTGATCCAATTAAGTTTCCTGTGGGTATGGCAGAATCAAGGGTAAAACATGCTTATGTGAAATGCATTTTTAAAAATTCTGATCATAATTTTTTAACCATGGCAAACAAGAAAAAGGAAAGCAGATGACTTTTGCATTGATGTTGTTTCCTTCAGAAAAATGTATTTTATGTTCTTAAGAAAAAGAAGCAACTGGCATATGTTTCTGACAATATGGCAGATTAGAATTGAAAAATCTTCTTTGCATAACATACTAGATAAAAAGGTAGCCAACATACCTTTAAATTTGTAGTGAAACAAGTGAAAAAGTAAGGACATTGAACTATATTAAGAATAGGAACTTCTGTTGATCAAAAGGCATTATTAAGAGATTGAAAGTGCAAGATAGAAGGGAAGAAAATCATAAATAACAAAAACTGTTTATATTCAAAGTATATAAAAGGCTCCTGTAAAACAATATACATTTCCAAAAAGTTTAGATGAACCCACTAGTAAAATGGCTTGATTTTTTTCCCCAAAGGTTATTTATGTTCAAATGTTCAATGAGGATGTGAAAATGTTCTCTGCACTAACAGGGACATGTAAATTAAAACTGCAAGGAGATACCAGCACACACTCACCAGACTACCTAAACTTAAAAAGACTGGGAATGGTAAGGATGCTGATGGGTTTAAGGACACTCTACTCCAAATATGGCCCCATGGCATATTGAATATTTTAATCTGAGGAAGTTAGAGAAATGACAAGTGCAGGAAGGAGTTTCTAGTCTTCTCCTGAAGCAGGTCATAAGCCCCTCATGTGAAGGAGTCCCCCACTTTTCCTGCAAAAGCAGCATCCTTATCTCTGAAGACAGATGGATGCCAAGAAGAATCTGAGTGACAAGGTCTTGCTAAGTTTCCCCCAGTCAACTACCCTCAGCTTGTATCCCTTTTTGTCCTATCTCATTTGCCTACAACTCTCTGCTTTTCATTAAACTCAGTATAAAAACACTGAGGTTTAATTGTTTCTTCAGGTCTTCCTTTCATTATGAAAGCTCCCGTGTTGTAAAACATAGATTAAATACATTTTTGTGCTTTTCTCTTGTTAATTTTTTTGTTGTTGTTATAGAGCCCTCAGCAGAGAAATTAGAAGGGTAGAAGAGAATCCTTACCATGTGAAATAACTGGAATTCTACAATTTGCTGGTGGTATATATCAGCACAACTATTATGGAAAACTGTTTGGTAGTATTACCAATGAAGAGGTTCAAAATATGCCACCTCAAAATATATCATTTTGGAAAATGGAATGTTTTGAGCTAAAGGCAATTGAGAACTAGCAGGCCCAGAAAAAGCTTTTAATTTCCTCCTTAACCACTTATAATAGTGTATAAATTTCCACTTTTGTAAAAGAAATTTTCATCAGTAAAAATATCTGTATTAGGAAGACAGTTACTCTCAGAGACAATTTTTATCACCTGAGAGACTCTTCAAGGCATAGCAAGGCAACTTTTATTAACTATACTTTTCCTCCTCTCACACTCCCATAATTTACCTCCTCCCCCATACCCAGAAGCCCCAAATCGCTGTTTCTTTGCATAGCCCAGGACAATATATGTCTCAGTGGAGTCTCAGCAGTCTTAGGCTACTTCAAGTCTCATATATTTTTGTGAAACTTCCATGCATACTTATATTTGTGATAATTTTTTTTCCTTCTGTTATCCTGTGTTATGTCAAATTAACTCTTAAGGCAGCCAGAGAACCTAGAAGGGTAGAAGAAAGCTTTTTTTGTTCCCTACACTGGCCTTAAGAATATGTGTATCCTATGATCCAGAAATTCCATTTCTAGCATACACCTGTGAAAGAAAAATAACTTGGGCCCCTTCAAGCTAGAAACTGCTCAGGGCAAATCTGCCTCCCATTCTATTCAAAGTCATCCCTCTACCCACAGAGACAGATGCATATTCTGATTGCCTCCTTTGGAATGACTTACCAGAAACTCAAAATAATGCAACCATTTCTCTCTCACCTACCTATGGCCTGGAAGTCCCCAGGGGAAGACTTGCTTTGAGTTGTCTCCACCTTTCTGGATGGAAGTACTGTACTTCTTACATATATTGATTGATGTCTCATGTCTCCCTAAAATGTATAAAACCAAGCTATGCCCCGACCACCTTAGGCACATGTTGTCAGCACTTCCTGAGGCTATGTCATGAGCATGTCCTCAACCTTGGTGACCATTAATGTCCTCTAGCTCAGGATTCAGTTCTTTGTGATCTACATTCACTCAAACTGGGAGAGTTCCATTGTCTCCTCAGGTTCACAGTTTTAGCAAAGTCTCTTTCAGATAGCCTCAAGTCAGCTTTACTTTTTATCCACTGTGATGGCTTCCAATTACAACTAGTCTCTCTCTTTTTGGTAGCAGTATTTAAAAACCCTGAAACAGTTTTTTGAACAGAGATTTCCTTCAAAATATGAAAGGCATTAATCTTCTATTTGTTACAACAGTGAAAAATTTTTTCTTTCCAGAAAGGTGTACCTAAAATAACAGATAACAGTCATGATACATCAAGAGATGTATTTCCCCCAAGAGAATGGAAAATACATTCTTAAAAGCATGGTGAATATTAAGGGGGCTTTCATTTTACAAAGGAGAATTTAAATGGTCAAAGGTCTTCTGGGACACATATCTGCCTCATGGGGTTGTTAATATTAGAAATAAGAACAGTGAAGTTCCTGGTGCATAGTGGGTGCTAAGTCATTTATTATTAATTTCAGATTCCTTCCTCCAGGGAACTTTTGTACCAGCTTCTAAAATTATACTTTGGAAGGCAATTAATTTTAGTTTCTTATTTGATTCAGCCTTTAATTCACATTCATTCAATTTTCTTAGTTGTGAAAGCAGTGGAGTAGAAATACCAAATAATTGACTAAAGGAAGACTATTTCTTACATTAGATATATTACTGTACTACATTAGCTCCTGAATTTCTCCATGATTCTGACATTTCACTGAGTTTGGACTGGGAGTTTCACCATGTGGTAAAACTCTCTTCAGAGAGTTCTGGCTTGCGATATTGAAATTTCTGTATGCCCCTCATCTCATGATAAGATCTCTATATAAATGATGGCTTTGTTTAAAACAAAAGTACAACTTCGCTCAAGGTAAGCAGCCCTTGACTCAATTAGAAAAAGATTGAATTGAAAAGCAAAAATGTATTGCTTTTCTTGCCCCTCGTTCCTCCAGCAAAGAAAATCAGAGTTGGGAAATGCTCTAAACTGATTCTGCCTGATGGCTGAGCATGGAGTTTACCTTTGTGAAAAGGGAGAAATCAATAGAGATGACAAGGAAAGTTATACTTTTTAATAGCACTCTGGGGAATGAGAGGTGAGTTTGTGACCATTGGCATCACAGATTTGTGTGACAACCTGATGTTCTGTTTCACGCTTAGAGACCCACCACACAGCCACATTCTCTACACAAACATCCTTCGAAAAAAAATTGTAGAAATATACAGCTAAGAACATGCATATGGTATAGAGCTTAGACCATACTTTAGGATCAATCTGACTTGGCTTTGAATCCTGACTTTGCTACTTCCTAACTGAAGGTGATAAACAGTGATTAGCATTTTCAAAAGCTTGGTGGTGGAAGCCAAGCAAAACTTAAGGTTGAGGAAGAGTTATGGGAGGAAGATTAATATAACAGAGCTTGAGCATGTTTATAACCTGAAGACCAGGAGAATTTAAAGAGGGTGTAGAGGGAGTATTTACTTAAGTTAATGTTTCCTTGTGTGAAAAACCGGCGTAACACAGATCTATTCAAGGTTGATACTGGAATTAAATTATTTTGTATGTATCATATATATGTATACATATTATTTTAATCTGTTTTGTGATACTATAACAAAATACCACAGAGTGGGTAATTTACAAAGAGCAGAAATTTATTTCTGACAGTTCTGGAGGTTTGGAAGTCCAAGATCAAGGTGCTGGCATCTGGTGTCTGTTAAGAGCTGGGTCTCTACTCCCAAGATGGTGTCTTGAATGCCATATCCTCCAGAGCAGGTGAAAACTGTTCCTACATGGCAGAAGAGCAGAAGAGGAGAAACCCACTTCTGCAAGCCCTTCTTATAGTGGCACTCATCCATTAATGAGGGCTCTCCTCATGACATAAACACCTCCCATTAGACTCCACCTCCCAACACTGTTGCTTTGGGGATTAACTTTCTTTTTTTTTTTTTTGATTTATTTATTTATTTATTTATTTATTTATTTATTTATTTATTTTAATTATACTTTAAGTTTTAGGGTACATGTGCACATTGTGCAGGTTAGTTACATATGTATACATGTGCCATGCTGGTGCGCTGCACCCACTAACTCGTCATCTAGCATTAGGTATATCTCCCAGTGCTATCCCTCCCCCCTCCCACCTCCCCACCACAGTCCCCAGAGTGTGATATTCCCCTTCCTGTGTCCATGTGATCTCATTGTTCAATTCCCACCTATGAGTGAGAATATGCGGTGTTTGGTTTTTTGTTCTTGCGATAGTTTACTGAGAATGATGGTTTCCAATTTCATGCATGTCCCTACAAAGGACATGAACTCATCATTTTTTATGGCTGCATAATATTCCATGGTGTATATGTGCCACATTTTCTTAATCCAGTCTATCATTGTTGGACATTTGGGTTGGTTCCAAGTCTTTGCTATTGTGAATAATGCCGCAATAAACATACGTATGCATGTGTCTTTATAGCAGCATGATTTATAGTCATTTGGGTATATACCCAGTAATGGGATGGCTGGGTCAAATGGTATTTCTAGTTCTAGATCCCTGAGGAATCGCCACACTGACTTCCACAATGGTTGAACTAGTTTACAGTCCCACCAACAGTGTAAAAGTATTCCTATTTCTCCACATCCTCTCCAGCACCTGTTGTTTCCTGACTTTTGAATGATTGCCATTCTAACTGGTGTGAGATGATATCTCATAGTGGTTTTGATTTGCATTTCTCTGATGGCCAGTGATGATGAGCATTTTTTCATGTGTTTTTTGGCTGCATAAATGTCTTCTTTTGAGAAGTGTCTGTTCATGTCTTTTGCCCAATTTTGATGGGGTTGTTTGCTCTTTTCTTGTAAATTTGTTTGAGTTCATTGTAGATTCTGGATATTAGCCCTTTGTCAGATGAGTAGGTTGCAAAAATTTTCTCCCATTTTGTAGGTTGCCTGTTCACTCTGATGGTAGTTTCTTTTGCTGTGCAGAAGCTCTTTAGTTTAATTAGATCCCATTTGTCAATTTTGGCTTTTGTTGCCATTGCTTTTGGTGTTTTGGACATGAAGTCCTTGCCCACGCCTATGTCCTGAATGGTAATGCCTAGGTTTTCTTCTAGGGTTTTTATGGTTTTAGGTCTAACGTTTAAGTCTTTAATCCATCTTGAATTGATTTTTGTATAAGTTGTAAGGAAGGGATCCAGTGTCAGCTTTCTACATATGGCTAGCCAGTTTTCCCAGCACCATTTATTAAATAGGGAATCCTTTCCCCATTGCTTGTTTTTCTCAGGTTTGTCAAAGATCAGATAGTTGTAGGTAAGCGGCGTTATTTCTGAGGGCTCTTTTCTGTTCCATTGATCTATATCTCTGTTTTGGTACCAGTACCATGCTGTTTTGGTTACTGTAGCCTTGTAGTATAGTTTGAAGTCAGGTAGTGTGATGCCTCCAGCTTTGTTCTTTTGGCTTAGGATTGGCTTGGTGATGTGGGCTCTTTTTTGGTTCCATATGAACTTTAAAGTAGTTTTTTCCAATTCTGTGAAGAAAGTCATTGGTAGCTTGATGGGGGTGGCACTGAATCTGTAAATTACCTTGGGCAGTATGGCCATTTTCACGATATTGATTCGTCCTACCCATGAGCATGGAATGTTCTTCCATTTGTTTGTATCCTCTTTTATTTCCTTGAGCAGTGGCTTGTAGTTCTCCTTAAAGAGGTCCTTCACATCCCTTGTAAGTTGGATTCCTAGGTATTTTATTCTCTTTGGAGCAATTGTGAATGGGAGTTCACTCATGATTTGGCTCTCTGTTTGTCTGTTGTTGGTGTATAGGAATGCTTGTGATTTTTGTACATTGATTTTGTATCCTGAGACTTTGCTGAAGTTGCTTATCAGCTTCAGGAGATTTTGGGCTGAGACGATGGGGTTTTCTAGATAAACAATCATGTCGTCTGCAAACAGGGACAATTTGACTTCCTCTTTTCCTAATTGAATACCCTTTATTTCCTTCTCCTGCCTGATTGCCCTGGCCAGAACTTCCAACACTATGTTGAATAGGAGCGGTGAGAGAGGGCATCCCTGTCTTGTGCCAGTTTTCAAAGGGAATGCTTCCAGTTTTTGCCCATTCAGTATGATATTGGCTGTGGGTTTGTCATAGATAGCTCTTATTATTTTGAGATATGTCCCATCAATACCTAATTTATTGAGAGTTTTTAGCATGAAGGGTTGTTGAATTTTGTCAAAAGCTTTTTCTGCATCTATTGAGATAATCATGTGGTTTTTGTCTTTGGCTCTGTTTATATGCTGGATTACATTTATTGATTTGCGTATATTGAACCAGCCTTGCATCCCAGGGATGAAGCCCACTTGATCATGGTGGATAAGCTTTTTGATGTGCTGCTGGATTCATTTTGCCAGTATTTTATTGAGGATTTTTGCATCAATGTTCATCAAGGATATTGGTCTAAAATTCTCTTTTTTGGTTGTGTCTCTGCCAGGCTTTGGTATCAGAATGATGCTGGCCTCATAAAATGAGTTAGGGAGGATTCCCTCTTTTTCTATTGATTGGAATAGTTTCAGAAGGAATGGTACCAGTTCCTCCTTGTACCTCTGGTAGAATTCGGCTGTGAATCCATCTGGTCCTGGAGTCTTTTTGGTTGGTAAACTACTGATTATTGCCACAATTTCAGCTCCTGTTATTGGTCTATTCAGAGATTCAACTTCTTCCTGGTTTAGTCTTGGGAGAGTGTATGTGTCCAGGAATTTATCCATTTCTTCTAGATTTTCTAGTTTATTTGCATAGAGGTGTTTGTAGTATTCTCTGATGGTAGTTTGTATTTCTGTGGGATCGGTGGTGATATCCCCTTTATCATTTTTTATTGTGTCTATTTGATTCTTCTCTCTTTTTTTCTTTATTAGTCTTGCTAGCGGTCTATCAATTTTGTTGATCCTTCCAAAAAACCAGCTCCTGGATTCATTGATTTTTTGAAGGGTTTTTTGTGTCTCTATTTCCTTCAGTTCTGCTCTGATTTTAGTTATTTCTTGCCTTGTGCTAGCTTTTGAATGTGTTTGCTCTTGCTTTTCTAGTTCTGTTAATTGTGATGTTAGGGTGTCAATTTTGGATCTTTCCTGCTTTCTCTTGTGGGCATTTAGTGCTATAAATTTCCCTCTACACACTGCTTTGAATGCGTCCCAGAGATTCTGGTATGTTGTGTCTTTGTTCTCGTTGGTTTCAAAGAACATCTTTATTTCTGCCTTCATTTCGTTATGTACCCAGTAGTCATTCAGGAGCAGGTTGTTCAGTTTCCAGGTAGTTGAGCGGCTTTGAGTGAGATTCTTAATCCTGAGTTCTAGTTTGATTGTACTGTGGTCTGAGAGTTAGTTTGTTATAATTTCTGTTCTTTTACATTTGCTGAAGAGAGCTTTACTTCCAACTGTGTGGTCAATTTTGGAATAGGTGTGGTGTGGTGCTGAAAAAAATGTGTATTCTGTTGATTTGGGGTGGAGAGTTCTGTAGATGTCTATTAGGTCCGCTTGGTGAAGAGCTGAGTTCAATTCCTGGGTATCCTTGTTGACTTTCTGTGTCGTTGATCTGTCTAATGTTGACAGTGGGGTGTTAAAGTCTCCCATTATTAATGTGTGGGAGTCTAAGTCTCTTTGTAGGTCACTCAGGACTTGCTTTATGAATCTGGGTGCTCCTGTATTGGGTCCATATATATTTAGGATAGTTAGCTCCTCTTGTTGAATTGATCCCTTTACCATTATGTAATGGCCTTCTTTGTCTCTTCTGATCTTTGTTGGTTTAAAGTCTGTTTTATCAGAGACTAGGATTGCAACCCCTGCCTTTTTTTGTTTTCCATTTGCTTGGTAGATCTTCCTCCATCCTTTTATTTTGAGCCTATGTGTGTCTCTGCACGTGAGATGGGTTTCCTGAATACAGCACACTGATGGGTCTTGACTCTTTATCCAACTTGCCAGTCTGTGTCTTTTAATTGGAGCATTTAGTCCATTTACATTTAAAGTTAATATTGTTTTGTGTGAATTTGATCCTGTCATTATGATGTTAGCTGGTGATTTTGCTCGTTAGTTGATGCAGTTTCTTCCTAGTCTCGATGGTCTTTACATTTTGGCATGATTTTGCAGCAGCTGGTACCGGTTGTTCCTTTCCATGTTTAGCGCTTCCTTCAGGAGCTCTTTTAGGGCAGGCCTGGTGGTGACAAAATCTCTCAGCATTTGCTTGTCTGTAAAGTATTTTATTTCTCCTTCACTTATGAAGCTTAGTTTGGCTGGATATGAAATTCTGGGTTGAAAATTCTTTTCTTTAAGAATGTTGAATATTGGCCCCCACTCTCTTCTGGCTTGTAGGGTTTCTGCCGAGAGATCCGCTGTTAGTCTGATGGGCTTCCCTTTGAGGGTAACCCGACCTTTCTCTCTGGCTGCCCTTAACATTTTTTCCTTCATTTCAACTTTGGTGAATCTGACAATTATGTGTCTTGGAGTTGCTCTTCTCGAGGAGTATCTTTGTGGCGTTCTCTGTATTTCCTGAATCTGAATGTTGGCCTGCCTTGCTAGATTGGGGAAGTTCTCCTGGATAATATCCTGCAGAGTGTTTTCCAACTTGGTTCCATTCTCCGCATCACTTTCAGGTACACCAATCAGATGTAGATTTGGTCTTTTCACATAGTCCCATATTTCTTGGAGGCTTTGCTCATTTCTTTTTATTCTTTTTTCTCTAAACTTCCCTTCTCACTTCATTTCATTCATTTCATCTTCCATCACTGATACCCTTTCTTCCAGTTGATCGCATCGGCTCCTGAGGCTTCTGCATTCTTCACATAGTTCTCGAGCCTTGGTTTTCAGCTCCATCAGCTCCTTTAAGCACTTCTCTGTATTGGTTATTCTAGTTATACATTCTTCTAAATTTTTTTCAAAGTTTCCAACTTCTTTGCCTTTGGTTTGAATGTCCTCCCGTAGCTCAGGGTAATTTGATTGTCTGAAGCCTTCTTCTCTCAGCTCGTCAAAGTCATTCTCCATCCAGCTTTGTTCCGTTGCTGGTGAGGAACTGCGTTCCTTTGGAGGAGGAGAGGCACTCTGCTTTTTAGAGTTTCCAGTTTTTCTGTTCTGTTTTTTCCCCATCTTTGTGGTTTTATCTACTTTTGGTCTTTGATGATGGTGATGTACAGATGGGTTTTTCGTGTGGATGTCCTTTCTGTTTGTTAGTTTTCCTTCTAACAGACAGGACCCTCAGCTGCAGGTCTGTTGGAATACCCTGCCGTGTGAGGTGTCAGTGTGCCCCTGCTGGGGGGTGCCTCCCAGTTAGGCTGCCCAGGGGTCAGGGGTCAGGGACCCACTTGAGTAGGCAGTCTGCCCGTTCTCAGATCTCCAGCTGCGTGCTGGGAGAACCACTGCTCTCTTCAAAGCTGTCAGACAGGGACATTTAAGTCTGCAGAGGTTACTGCTGTCTTTTTGTTTGTCTGTGCCCTGCCCCCAGAGGTGGAGCCTACAGAGGCAGGCAGGCCTCCTTGAGCTGTGGTGGGCTCCACCCAGTTGGAGCTTTCCGGCTGCTTTGTTTACCTAATCAAGCCTGGGCAATGGCGGGCGCCCCTCCCCCAGCCTCGCTGCAGCCTTGCAGTTTGATCTCAGACTGCTGTGCTAGCAATCAAGGAGACTCCGTGGGGGTAGGACCCTCCGAGCCAGGTGTGGGATATAATCTCGTGGTGCGCCGTTTTTTAAGCCGGTCGGAAAAGCGCAGTATTCGGGTGTGAGTGACCCGATTTTCCAGGTGCCGTCTGTCACCCCTTTCTTTGACTCAGAAAGGGAACTCCCTGACCCCTTGCGCTTCCCAAGTGAGGCAATGCCTCACCCTGCTTCGGCTGGTGCACGGTGCACGCACCCACTGACCTGCGCCCACTTTCTGGCACTCCCTAGTGAGATGAACCCGGTACCTCAGATGGAAATGCAGAAATCATCCGTCTTCTGTGTCGCTCACGCTGGGAGCTGTAGACGGGAGCTGTTCCTATTCGGCCATCTTGGCTCCTCCCCACTCATACTTTCTTTCTAATCTGTGCCTCTAATCGGAGAATATTGGCGATATGACATGCCACAGTTATTTGTGACAAGAAGCCATGGATCCTTTCATTCTCTGCCCCTCCACCCATATCTATTGATCTATCTATCTATTGATCTGTCATCTATCTATTCATCCATTCATCTATATTCTTGTTATTATCTTACAGACAGGAGCCTTAAAGAAACGACTTGATCATTATTCCAGGTTAAAAAAATGAGCCACAATTCCCCTGGTCATGAAGTTATAATTCTAGCCTCTTCTCTATTAAATTGCTCTCAGGTAATAATTTAGAGAGTAATTGGCACAAACCTTACAAATAGTTTTCTATTTTTAACTCTATCCCCCTTGTGGTACCTGGGTAGACTTTGTGCTCATTAGTCTTTGGCTCCTACTGATCTTGTGCTGTGTTGGCAGTCATGTGATAGACCTCTGCACACGATGCTGGGGGGAAATCTAGCCTTTATTTCTGCAGCCTAATGACAGTGAGAGCCAAGAGATGAGTACATTTGAGGAGTCAAAATGCTTCTGTGTCAGAACTTTATGGCAAGAGAAAGAAAGTTGGGACACTGGTTATTTTCTGGGACATCAGCTACTGATTTATGAACTTGATGGGACCTCCCTACTTATTACTTTACAATGAAATGAAGGTTATTTTAAATGTTGATTGTTAGGTTGTAATGTCCCTCCCCCCACCCCGTTTTCATTAGAAATGTCATTTACAGATTGTTACTTGACACACAGTAAAATGTGTGGAGTTTTTGAGCAGTTAAAAAAGAGGATTGCACCACAGGGGCCACTGTAAGATTTGTAACAGAGCTCTGCCGAAGGTATTTTACTCCTTGATTTCAGCAATGATAAACCTAGGTTTATTTTTGTTTGTTTGTTTTTTTAGAAGAATAAATCATGAAAAAAAGGAAAAGGAGTAGTACTGGTGTGACCTTAAGTCAACTAAAAGTAAGCTACTGGTATCAGGAAGAAAGAGAAAAGATGTAGGAAAGCCTAATGAACTGCTGATGTGAGACCTGAAGAGTCAAAAAACAGGTCTAAGGCTAATGATGTGGTGAGGATGGAGAGATTAGGAACCCTGAGCAGGTCTCAGGACACATGATGGATCCAAGGAAAGTGTTTATTTGCCAACCTGTGGGAAAGGTATGGAAGCCATTTAAAGATTGGTATTTTCTGAAATAAATTTCTACTAGCAGTCTGCAGATGAAAAGACCTATTATATTGTCGTCAACCCATTAAATTTTATCCTAGGCCCTGTTTGTAAGAGTCCTTGAAAAGAGAAGCATCAGTTTTCCAATATGAAGTAAATGGAGGTAAGATGAACTTACCTACCCTCTTCCTTACTCTCCAAACAGTCGTCAAGCTCATGCAGTAAGTATCTGGATGGAGGTTACAACTACGACAGCATCTCAAAGAGAAAGCATTGTGCAGTGGTAGGTTATGGGTTTGGATTTGGTGTAAACTGGAGCCAGGTTTGAATTCTGGGTCTGTAACTTGCAAACTGCTCTTTGAGCTTCAGATTCCTTATGGCTGAAATGGGGTTAACAATATTGACCTCACATTATTGTGAAGATTAAATATTAAATGAACTCATGCATTTAAAACATTGAGTAAAATGCTAAATCTAGAGAAGGTACTCAGAGGTTGCATTTACTGTTATTTACTTCATCAGTGTCAAGTCATGTGTTCAACAATCAGAAGCGTAACTCAGAATCTCCTGGAAAGTGGAACAGACATTTATATTTTGATTCTAGAGATTCTGATGCACGCAAGGGCTAAGAACATTGGCCTTGGGGTCTGTGACTTGCTGCAATTTCCTTGGACCTGGGCTATACCCAACTGTGGAAACACAAGGTGATAGGAAGCCCTTGGGATGCTGCATTGGGTGATGGGGAGCTCCCTGATGCCTCTCTGCATGGCTGGTGTGAAGTCATGAAGATAACAGAAAAATCTATGTTCTCCCCTCTAAAAAATTTACCCCTCAAATGCAGAATAATACTGCTTTTTGGGTATCTATTTCTAAAGATTTCCCCTAATATTTGCCTTAAAGTTGTATCTTCTCTAAGAGTATTGTTGCCCTGGGCCCCTATGTCATCTCTGTCTTTGTCCCAATACAGAATTTTTTTTTTTTTTTTTTTTTTTTTTTAGATGGAGTTTTGCTCTTGTCACCCAGGCTGGAGTGCAATGACGTGATCTCGGCTCACTGCAACCTCCACCTCCTGGGTTCAAGTGATTCTCCTGCCTCAGCCTCCCGAGTAGCTGGGATTACAGGCACCCACCATCATGCCCAGCTAATTTTTGTATTTTTAGTAGAGACAGGGTTTTGCCATGTTGGCCAGGCTGGTCTCGAACTCCTGACCTCAAGTTATCCACCCACCTCGGCCTCCTAAAGTGCTGGGATTACAGGCATGAGCCACTGCTTGGAACTCTGAGGGTTAACCTATTAAGCCAGTTCAGGACAGTAACTGAATCTAAAATTTCAAAAAAAGCTCTTAGAATTTCATGCCTCTTCTATCAAAGGCATCGAATATTATATGATTTATGCCCATGAGTGATGGTTTGTGTTTTCATTTACAAACTGCCAACATAACCACCCATCTCCAAAGCTTTTGTCTGTTTTAAGCTGACAGAAATAAATTAAGATTGCCGAAGTGGCAGTGGGAATGGAAAGGAGAGGATGGATTCATGACCTATTTAGAGGGTACAATTGACAGGTTTTACTGGAAAGGAGAGTGAGTATTGAGCTTAACACTCAAATTTCAAAATTGTGCAACTAGATGGATAATGGTCATAATTCACTAAAATAGGACACAGGGCCAGGAGCAGATTTTGGGTTGCATTATTTAAATTCAGATAAGTTTTGTTAAGTATAAAGTGCCAAATGGGATGACTGGTAATAATTGTACACATGGTTTGGGGCTAAAAAATCAAGCCTAGATTCATGGTCTAGAAAACTTGGATTAATCATATCAAGAGGATTTGGCAATGTGCAATTAATTGTATATATTTAACTGCTAGAACATGTTGTTATAATATTAGATACATTGTGTGTATTTTTTCTTAATTTTTTAAAAAATTTAATTTTTAATTGTTATGGTACATAGTAGGTATATATACTTATGAGTACATGAGGTATTTTGATAAAGGCATACACTATATAATAATCACATCAGGGTAAATGGGGTATACATCTCCTCAAGCATTAACCATTTTGTTGTGTTACAAATATTTAAATTTTACTCTTAGCTATTATAAATATACAATACATTATTGTTGACTATAATCACCCTATTGTGCTATCAAGTATTAGATCTTATTTGTTCTATCTAAATATACTTTCATACCTATCATCCCCATTTTTCCCCTCCCCCTACACACCACTCTTTCCAGCCTCTGATAACTATCATTGTTCTCTCTATCTCCATCTGTACATTTTAAAACACTTTTAGCTCCCACAAATGTGAGAACATGCAAAGTTTATCTTTATTTTTTGCCTGAAAGCTCCAATTTTATTTATTTATTTTTTAATGTGTAATGTATTTTATTTTTTTTAATTTTTATTTTTATTATTTTTATTTTTTTATTTTATTTATTATTATTATACTTTAAGTTTTAGGGTACATGTGCACAATGTGAAGGTTAGTTACATATGTATACATGTGCCATGCTGGTGCGCTGCACCCACTAACTCGTCATCTAGCATTAGGTATATCTCCCAATGCTATCCCTCCCTCCTCCCCCCACCCCACAACAGTCCCCAGAGTGTGATGTTCCCCTTCCTGTGTCCACGTGTTCTCATTGTTCAATTCCCACCTGTGAGTGAGAATATGCGGTGTTTGGTTTTTTGTTCTTGCGATAGTTTACTGAGAATGATGATTTCCAATTTCATCCATGTCCCTACAAAGGACATGAACTCATCATTTTTTATGGCTGCATAGTATTCCATGGTGCATATGTGCCACATTTTCTTAATCCAGTCTATCATTGTTGGACATTTGGGTTGGTTCCAAGTCTTTGCTGTAGTGAATAATGCCTCAATAAACATACCTGTGCATGTGTCTTTATAGCAGCATGATTTATAGTCCTTTGGGTATATACCCAGTAATGGGATGGCTGGGTCAAATGGTATTTCTAGTTCTAGATCCCTGAGGAATCGCCACACTGACTTCCACAATGGTTGAACTAGTTTACAGTCCCACCAACAGTGTAAAAGTGTTCCTATTTCTCCACATCCTCTCCAGCACCTGTTGTTTCCTGACTTTTGAATGATTGCCATTCTAACTGGTGTGAGATGGTATCTCATTGTGGTTTTGATTTGCATTTCTCTGATGGCCTGTAATGGTGAGCATTTTTTCATGTGTTTTTTGGCTGCATAAATGTCTTCTTTTGAGAAGTGTCTGTTCATGTCCTTCACCCACTTTTTGATGGGGTTGTTTGTTTTTTTCTTGTAAATTTGTTTGAGTTCATTGTAGATTCTGGATATTAGCCCTTTGTCAGATGAGTAGGTTGCAAAAATTTTCTCCCATTTCGTAGGTTGCCTGTTCACTCTGATGGTAGTTTCTTTTGCTGTGCAGAAGCTCTTGAGTTTAATTAGATCCCATTTGTCAATTTTGGCTTTTGTTGCCATTGCTTTTGGTGTTTTAGACATGAAGTCCTTGCCCATGCCTATGTCCTGAATGGTAATGCGTAGGTTTTCTTCTAGGGTTTTTATGGTTTTAGGTCTAACGTTTAAGTCTTTAATCCATCTTGAATTAATTTTTGTATAAGGTGTAAGGAAGGGATCCAGTTTCAGCTTTCTACATATGGCTAGCCAGTTTTCCCAGCACCATTTATTAAATAGGGAATCCTTTCCCCATTGCTTGTTTTTCTCAGGTTTGTCAAAGATCAGATAGTTGTAGATATGCGGCATTATTTCTGAGGGCTCTGTTCTGTTCCATTGATCTATATCTGTGTTTTGATACCAGTACCATGCTGTTTTGGTTACTGTAGCCTTGTAGTATAGTTTGAAGTCAGGTAGTGTGATGCCTCCAGCTTTGTTCTTTTGGCTTAGGATTGGCTTGGTGATGTGGGCTCTTTTTTGGTTCCATATGAACTTTAAAGTAGTTTTTTCCAATTCTGTGAAGAAAGTCATTGGTAGCTTGATGGGGATGGCACTGAATCTGTAAATTACCTTGGGCAGTATGGCCATTTTCACGACATTGATTCTTCCTACCCATGAGCATGGAATGTTCTTCCATTTGTTTGTATCCTCTTTTATTTCCTTGAGCAGTGGTTTGTGTTGTCCTTGAAGAGGTCCTTCATGTCCCTTGTAATTTGGATTCCTAGGTATTTTATTCTCTTTGAAGCAATTGTGAATGGGAGTTCACTCATGATTTGGCTCTCTGTTTGTCTGTTGTTGGTGTATAAGAATGCTTGTGATTTTTGCACATTAATTTTATATCCTGAGACTTTGCTGAAGTTGCTTATCAGCTTAAGGAGATTTTGGGCTGAGACAGTGGGGTTTTCTAGATATACAATCATGTCGAAAAAGACAGTTTTCTATTAAGAAAAGCTGGTTTATGAATTCTGTATCTCTGTACTGACCTAACTTCAACTAAACCACAAAATAGCATTTGAGTTTTTATTCCCACTCTGTTACAGTGGCAAAACAAAGCATGAATTTTTAGAAAACTGCACAAGCATGAAATCTAGAAATAGAGCACACATTTATCATACCTTGGTAGAAAATATATTTTCTAAAGTGTGTTTAAATAATATCATACTCTCCCAAATCTCTGATCTTTATACTTTTCCTTTAACTCCTTTGTCCTCCAGAATACAGCTCATGGAAGGTCAGAATGTATAAGAATGTGTTTATTGGATACCTTCAAAGTCACTAAGGTACCTTCTTTTGTCCCTAACAAATGCTAATGGTATTGACATTCAGTTTTCTTAGTGTTATCTTCTTCCTTAGGCAATTTGCTGTGTCATCTCATTATATTCATGGCTTGAAAGAGGAACCTAGTTCTAAAGCTTGAAGTGGTTTATTGACCCTAAAAGATGAGGTAATTCACTGTGCAACATAATTCAAGCCTTTAAGATCAACTACTCATTTCTCACGCAATAATCAGGAAGAGAAGTCTCAAAATTCAAAATATCGTTGCTTAAGCATGGTCACAATCATTTATTCAGATCAAAATCCAATCCTTAAAATTTACTCTGAGTCACTCTCATGATATATCTCCTTAAGTAACAGTAAGATTCCTCCATTTGTATAACATTAGTAATTATTACTAATTGTCCTAATAATGCTATCTACATCTGGTTAATTCCTATCATTGTACCTCCTACAATGTGATTAATGTCAGGAGTGGGGAATTTTATGTATTAAATTTCTTCTTAAAGGTTACACCCTGGAAATGTGAGGGAAAGTATTTGTGGCAATGGGATGTCACCCAACTATAAGGTTAACAAAGAATGACCAAACAATAAAATTAATCATACGTTTTCTAAATCACCAAGAGTAAACCAAATTATAATTCTGTTTTAGAAACATGAGAATGAATATTTATGGTACAGACAGGCAGCTCTTAGATGGAATATTGAATCTTTTTCTTAAAGCTATTTGGAGGAGATCGTCAGAAAACGTGTGATTACTTTTTCTTTATATGATCTTGGCCCACAAATAGTCTTTCCACAAATATTTTTTGGGATAGAGACAGTTTTGTGCTTCAGAAGCTAATAAAAATAACTTTGTTATTTTTTTTACTACCTGACGGTCACCATTTTAGGAAATTTACTAGTATTATCTTATTTTGTTCTTATAGCAGATACTATTTACTATCCACATTTTATTGATAAGGAAACTGACAAAGAGCTTAAATAAGTTGCTCAACATCATGCAGGTAAGAAGTGATAGAGCTGGGATTTGGTTTCCGTGTCTTACTCTATTCTAAACCATGCCATTTAATACAGATCATTATTTGTAGATGTGTATTTTTAAAAAGGCCACTGTTAGCTTGAACAGCCCATTCACTGTACATTTTTAAAACAATAGCTGTACACCATTAGAGCTGTGCAATTCTAATTCATTAATTTTACAGATGAGAAAGTTGATACTCGTAAGGGTAAGGTATGTATGCAAATGTCCAACATCAGGCCACCCGTTGGTGTAAAAGGTGGCTTAAAATCTAGTATTCTCACTCCTGACTGGGTCCTCTTCCCACTGACCACACTGTCACCAATATACCCTCTTCAAGTAAATCTTTATTAAGATAAAGATTGCAAGTTTGTAGTACTTATTAATAATATATATCTTTTGTATAAAAATCATCTCCAAGCATAATGTCACCTAATGTCTTATAGCATATTTTATAATGCAACACACACACACACACACACACACACACACACACACACGGGTTTTTTTTTTCCCCTGATTTTTAGTTTTTCTCAGTAGAACATAAGAAAAATCCTTCTTATGTCCTTCAGGAGTGAAGGCAATAATCACTCTTGTTCAAAAGGTCATATTTATATTATTTTAGATATCATTGCATCTTTTTTATAATGTTAGCATGTTTCAGTTTTTGAAGCCTTGAAGCCAGTGTGTGTGTGTGCGTGCGCGCGTATGTTGCATTATTGGGGATTGGGACACATGGTACAGTGAAAAATATAGCCACAGAAATAACTGGCTTGGAGAGCTCCTGTATCAACCTTTAGGTTAAAACTACCTGGGTAATGTCCGGGTGCAGTAGCTCACGCCTGTAATCCCAGCACTTTGGGAGGCCTAGGCGGGTGGATCACGAAGTCAGGAGATGGAGACCATCCTAGCTAACACAGTGAAACCCTGTCTCTATTAAAAATACAAAAAATTAGCCGGGCGTGGCGGTGTGTGTTTGTAGCCCCAGCCACTCTGGAGGCTGAGGCAGGAGAGTGGCCTGAACCCGGGAGGCGGAGCTTGCAGTGAGCCGAGATGGCGCCACTGCATTCCAGCCTGGGCGACAGAGCAAGACTCCATCTCAAAAAAAAAAACAAAAACAAAAACAAACAAACAAACCTACCCGCGTAAGAAAGGGCCACTTACATCACAAAGCATTCTTCAAAGAAAATGTTAATACGTAAAATCCTGATATGAGGTGAATTTTCATTAAATTGTTTTAATTTTTAATCCAATCGAATTCACAATGATGGTACTTTATGGTGCATATACAATACTTACGTGCCATCTTTTATTCATGCAGTACTAAGTATTATGTTCAGGGAGTTATTTAAAACAAGAGAGAAAATAGAAGATTCAGCCTTTTTCCTATGGGTTATAATCTAGTAGAGAGTTAGACAAGACAAAACTAGTGGAACTAGAGAATGGTTCAATGCTTTAAGGGAAAAAATGCAAAAACAAATTCCTGTAGCAGTTGACAGGAAGGAATGGCATTTGCTAAAATATATTAAGTGCTTACAGTGTGCTTGGGTCTTCAAGAGGGTCCACTGAATCCTGCCCTGATCCTACCCTGAGCTCAGACTAGATTCAGAAATAGAAAAGAGTAGCAGATGCCTGCCAAAATAGCATTGCTTTAAATGACAAAGACTAAATTGTGGAAGTTATCCTAACATGAGAGGGGTCTTCTACTCTCCTCCAGCTAAAACCCAACTCCCAAGAAGAAAAGCAGAGGAGGTGAGTTGTGCTGTTTGTTCTTCCTAAATTCACCAATGAGATTAAAGCACTCTCTTCTGGTAAAAAAAAGAAAAAAGAGAGAGAGAGAATATGAATTACATAAAGCAAAATACTAATCCCGGTTCTGTAATAAAATGGGCATGGAAAGCTAAAGCAATTAAAGGGCATCATCAGCAGCAGCATTATCATTAACATCAGCATCATCATCTTGGAACTCTTAGACAATAAAGCCTATTCTAGGGTGGCATGCATGACATGGGCTTTTGTTTAGTTAAAAAAAGATGTCACACAATCTTCAGCATATATCCCTTTTCAAGTTCCTGTATTGGTCATCCTGGCTCCCCAACATTTGATCTCTTGTTTATTGTTCTGACTGAACACCCTAAGTCCTCCCTCTGAAACATAATATTTTTTTCTATCTGGGAGAGGACACTTAAAAGAATAAGTCAGTGCCTTACTGTGCTCATACTAACAGATGTTAGAAAGTAGCTCAAGCTGGGAGAACGAGCCCCTAACCAGCTGTTTCATAGCCTGTAATTACAGCCTTAATAAATGAATCATTTCCTTCAGCTGGCACTAGTTGGGATCTACGCGTAACATTTTGTGTGTTAGCTGTTCTGGAAGCATTTCACTGCTTGCTGATGCTTTAGCACGGAGGTCTGTGAAATCAGGTATCTAACAAAAATCACCCTGATAGTATATAAAGTATAGGCAAATTTAGTGACTGGTGGTGGGCTCATATGAGAAAGAGAACTTATCAAGTCCTTGGTAATGTAATTGGCTTAACTTATTAGACTGTAGGTTAGAATATAAAAATCAAACTATAAAATTAATCTGCTGTACAGTGTGCTAATTAACCAGCTGGGTCAGCTTTGATAGTCTTAATTTTACAGATTTCCTTGAGGACATAATCTAGTTTGGTGACTCAGAGCTGTATCTCCCTCCTGCTAGGACTTAATAGTAATGGCTCCTGTTTTTTTTTTCCTCAGGATGTCAGAGACTTCATCTTTATTTCTTTTGTTAGATTATATCCTTTTCACATCGAAATCGCACTGGGGACATTGATATTAGACATTGCATTATAAAAGTCCAGATTTTCCTATGTCTGTCTGCACAGTTTTTTCTCTGGGGTGATTAATGGTCATATTTCAGAACAATGAATCGTATTTCAGAACAATCATCCCAGAGTGAAATAGAGGAGACAGAAATAAAATAGCAACAAGGGGTAGATTGAAGGTAAGAATGTGGGCTTGGTGCAAAGACAAAGATGAAGTGGGAAATCAATCAGCTGCGAGCTTCTTCAAAATAAAGCAATGTGGGATGTGAAGAAGGGGAATGAGCAATAAAAATCAGTTCTCTTCCAAGCCTTAAGCTTACAAAGCAATCCAGCTAGGGAGACAAATAAAACAATACAAGCAAAAACATGTCTTAGAATAACATTTTTGAGGATGAAGATAATATATGCTTGATATGGGGCATTCATAAAATATAAAGAAAAAAATTACCTGGAGATCACCATTGTGAATATTTCTATGTATTTTCTTACAGCTTTTATTCTTCTCTAAATTTTCTTTTCTACTCATCTGCAATCATTTTTTGTGTGTAATTTTGTATTCTCCTTTTTCAGCATTATGTCATAAACATTTTCTGAAGTCAACATTCCGAAAACATAGGTATGACTTTTATTGCTGTTTTTTTATCAACAAAATTTACACACATAGAAAAATTTAGAAAATAAAGAAAATAAAAGCTACTGATGCTATTGATGATATAAATGCACATACATTTATGTGAATTCTGTAATCTATGTATAACATGTATGTGATCACATTATCTTTATTATTTTGTGATATGCTTTTTGATACTTAGCAATATAGTGTGGATATCTATCATTTATCTGCCCCGTCTTTCAAATGTATATACAAGCATTATTTTTAATAAATACATAGTGGTATTCTATAATTGATTTAATCTATCATATAATATTGACTTTCATATTGCTTCCAAATTTTACTTTTACATGTAATTATGCAATTAGTCTATACAAATATTTTGCCATTTTTTACTGATTTTTTAAAAAATACATTTTTAGAATCCATAAATTCATACCAATTAACAGACTTCCTGCTAATCCTTGTTGCATATAATAGTAATGGGTAATTCCCTTAATCATATTCAATTTACTAGGCAGATGATATCTTTAATGTTTATTTTTATTAATATTGATATTTAAAATTTTTATTTTTAATATAGTTTGATTTAATATCTTTGATTTTATTATAGTTATTACATATTTGTATATTAATATTTCTTTTGTAAATGGCCTAATTTTTAATTTCTCACTTGTATACAAGGAGATAATTCACATTTTTATTATTTATAATTGTTATTTTGTTGACTGCATGATATCATATATATTTAGCATGATGAATATAAAAGAGACTTTTTCTGTTGCATCTATATTTTGGCTACAGCTTCAAAGCTGAGAATGATATGGATACGTATCCTCACGATTTTAATGGAGGAACTAGACACAGCCTATACACCCTTCAGGATCTGAGTGTTTCAGAGACCCATTCATCACCATTAACAACACCCAGAGATTCATTTTTGATTTACTAAGATGGAATACTTAGAGAGGAATTTGCAAAGAGAAAACTGTTATTTCTCCTTCTCTTCCAATCCTCAAGCAAAATGAAGGCAATTCCAAGAGTTCTTGACTGCACCTTTGAAGTTGTGGAGCACAGCTAATGGAAAAGGCTGGAGGCAGGAGCAGGCTGGAGCAACCACAGAGGCAGAGCCAAGAGATGGGGCAGTAGGAGAATGTGGTTAATGTGTCTGGAGTGGGGCGAGGTGATTTGGAAGGTTTCTCTAGAGGCAAATGGTAGACAGCCATGTCATCTTGTGTGATCTCCCCATGGTGGCAAGTCAATTTTCCAGTTGTTCACGCCCCAAATCTTGGAGTCACTCTTGACTCCATATCTCTTCTGTAGACTACATCTAATTTTGCTCCCAATCACCTCTTTCGGGGTTGCTATTGTAATCCAAGTCTCCATCATTTCCAGTTCAAACTGAAATTGTTGTATGTTTGCCACTTCCTCCCCTGATTAGTTTCAACATAGCACTCAGAGTAGTTCTTGTAATGTTTAACTTGAATTATATCACAGCTCTGTTCAGAACTCTATTTCCTGTGGCTTCATGTCTTAAAGTAAAAGCAAAAGTCTTAAAATTGGCATATAAGGTTCTATGTTATCTGTCTCCCCATACATATATTTGTTCCTTTCTGAGCTAATTTCCTAGCACTTTTCCTCTTCTCATTTGGCTACACACAGGGCACTGCTCATTCAGCCTTCAGCTTGCCAAATGTGCACACACCCCAGGGCCTTTTCACTTACTATCTCCTCTGCCTGGAACATGTGTCCCCAGATATGCATATACTTACTCCTCTACTATATTCAGGTAGCATCTCTTAGGCCAGCTTTTTAGAAAGTCTTTCCCTTGCCATCCTTGATATTAGCATTTCCTTCAGTCACCTGATATCCCCAAATTCCATTGTATTTTTCTATCAGGCACTTGTCATGTGACATATTTTTATATGCTTATTGCTTTATTGTTTTAGTCTAACGTTAGAATGTGAGCTCTTGGAGAAAAAGGAGTTTGTCCATCTTGTTTTCTTTGTCCTATCACCACAGCCTACTATAGAGCAGATCACAGAGGAAGTATTCAATAGATATGTGTTGAATAAATGATAGATGCTTCTGATTTAGAAGCAATAATTTTTCCTCAAGTATGCTTCTTTTTCTCTTCTTTGTTATGTTAGTTTTATTTAATACTCATGGCTAGGTGCGGTGGCTCATGCCTGTAATCCCAGCACTTTGGGAGGCTGAGGTGGGCAGATCGCCTGAGGTCAGTAGTTTGAGACCAGCCTAGCAATCATGGCTAAACTCCATCTCTACTAAAAATACAAAAATTAGCCGGGCATGGTGACAGGTGCCTGTAATCCTAGCTACTCAGGAGGTTGAGCAGGAGAATCGCTTGAACCCAGGAGGCAGAGGTTGCAGTGAGCATTGCATTCCAGCCTGGGTGACAAGAGCGAGGCTGTCTCAAAAAAAAAAAAAGACTCATAAATTCCCATTTAAAGAAACATACTGATAATAGTTGTTTAGTCTTCTCATGGCTAGACTAACTGGTATATCTGTAGCACTTTGACATATGGGATGTGTGTTTAGTAACCTCCCATTTAATGCTTTAGTTAATACTGTAATACATAATTTTGTACTCTTCTACATTGTACTTTTGTTATTTAAAAAGCTTTCTTGTAAGCAAGTGTCTTCATTTGCTATTGCATCTGTAACAAATTACCATAAATGTAACACACCACAAATTCATTATTGTACAGTATTGGTCAGATGTCTGACACTGGTTTCCATGGGCTGGAGTTACGGTGGTGGCAGGGTTGGTTCCTTCTGGAGGCTCTGGGGTAGAATCTGTTTTCTTGCTTTTCCAACATCTAGTGACCACCTACCTTCCATGGTTCATGGCCCCCTCCTTCATCTTCAGATCTGGCAGTGTGGCACCTGTGACCTAGCCAGAAAAAGTTACCCACTTTTAAGGATTTCATATGATTAGACTGGGTTCACCTGGATTATCTCTCCATCTCAAGTTCCTGAAGCCTAATCACATCTGCAAAGTCCCTTTTGCTATGCAAGGTAAGATATTCACATATTCTGAGGCCCAGGGTGTGACTGTCTTGGGGATTAGGGACCTTAATTGGCCTGCTACAGAAGAAAAGAAAACATTGCTATCTCTCATGCTTGTTCCTGCTGACCTCTAAGACTAATATCTTATTTCTCTCTTTTTCAGAACAGCTTTCTTAAAAAAAAGATCACTATCTGTTCCCTCCATTATTCATTTCACTCTCACTTTTTGATCTCTTGTAGTTAATATAACTTCAAATTCCACAAACATTTTGAAAATATTCTCTCCAAGCCTGACACTGACCTCCTAATCACCAAAATGTGCTGATCTTTTGCCTCTGTGTATTAAAATAGGTCTGAGAAACTAGTAGGCAGCTACACAGTTCCCATAACAACTGGGAACGATGGAGCCTGATGGCTCAGGCCAGCCTACAGAACCCAGATGCCACTCCCTGTCGTGTAGAACTTGCCCCCTGGCCCAGTAATGACCCACTCTTGCCCTCATGTAGAAATGTGGCTCGCTTTTCAGCTCATTCATTTCTCTTCCATGTGTTTCCATTTCTCTTCCATGGAACATTGTTCCATGTGTTCTCTTCCATTCATTTCTCTTCCATAAAACTCTCTAGCTTTACACTCTTTCTCCAGAAGTTTAGCTTTTCTTGTCATGTTCTTTTTGTAACACCCACCCGTCTTTCTCACTGCATTAACATAAAAATCTCAGCTCCTTGGTCTTTCTGTTTTCTAAACAAGGTTTTTGATGTCTAAACCAGGTGCCCCTTTTCTGTGGGGAATAATTCTGAGAAAAACAGCCTTTTCTAAAGTAACTTAAGTGCCTCCCTTGTTACTTGGTCACTCTCTTTATTCAATCTTGCCCTCCTTGAGGGCAGCACTGAACAGAACCATAGCTTTAGGGCACTGCTCTGAAAAGACTTGTTATTGGGCCCTGAGTGAGGGTGACCTCTGGTGGACACAACTGATTCTTTTTTCTCATCATGTGTTATTGCTGCTATTGCTATGTTTGTTTAAATTGTGGTTAACCATTTTTAAGTGTACAGCTCAGAAGTGTACAGTCACATTGTTGTGCAATCAATCTCCATAACTCATTTCATTTTGCTAAAGTAAAACTATAATCCAGTAGTAACTGTCCATCTCCCCCAGGCCCTGGCAACTTCCATTTTACTTTCTGTCTTTATGAAACTGACTATGCTAGGAACTGCATGTAAGTGGATCACATGGTGTTTATCCTTTTGTGACCAGCTTATTTCACTTAGCTTAATGTCTTCAACATTCATCCATACTGTAGCATGTGTCATAATTTACTTTCTTTTAAAGGCTGAATGGTATTCCATTGTATGCAGAATACCATATTTTGCTAATCTATTCATCTGTTGATGGACTCACGTTGCTCTCACATTTTGGTTATTGTGAATAATATTGCTGTAAACATGGATGTACAAATAGCTCTGGACACTCTGCTTTCAATTCTTTTTACTATAGACCCAGAAGTGGAATTGCTGGATCATCTGGTAATTCTATTTTTTAAAAACTTTTTTTACTGATACACAATGAATATACATATTTTCATGGTACATGTCATAATTTGATACATTAATATAATGTATAAAGATCAAATCAGGGTAATCGAGATAATAATCACCTTAAATATTTATGTCTGTGGTGGGAACATTTGAGTTATTCTCTTCCAGCTGTTTTGAAAGGTACAATAGATTAATGTTAATTAATGTTAACGAGTCACCCTACTCATGTCTCAAATACTAGGTCTTATTTCTTCTAACTGTATCTTCTAACTGTATATTGGTTCCCATTAATCAATCTCTCTTTATCTGACCCTCTGCCTTTCCCACCTTTCTGGTTTTCTAGTAACCACCAATCTACTCTCTGTCTTCGTGAGAAGTCCTAACCACAGATAATTCTATGTTTATTTTTGGGAGGACTGCCGTACTGTTTTCCACAGCAGCTACACCATCTTACATTGGCATCAACAGTGCACAGGAGTTTTGATTTCTTTAACACTTATTTTCTGTTTTTATTTTAATACACCTAATAAGTTTGAGGTGGTATCTCATAGTTTTGTTGTTGCTGTGTTTTTCCCACTGTTTATTAATCATACACCATGTGTCAAGAGCTTTTAACACTCTTGGCAATCCTATGAAGTAGGCATTACTTTTCCAACTCACTGTTGAGGAAATGAAGGCTCAAAGAAATGAAGTGAGGTATTAAGTAGTAGAACTGGGTCAAATCTAGGTCTGTTTATCTGAGGTGCATACTTTGAAAGGTGATGCTCCCTCATATTCAGTGTACCTGGTTTGTTTTAGGTTTCTATCATACTCAATTGTAAAATTTTTGAAATAATCTTTTTTTCTCTTCCCGTCACTAGGAACTCTATCTATTGCTCGCAGAGCTAGAAAAATGATAAGGAGATTAACTGCCCAGCATTTTGTGGACCAACATCTCTGGGCTTTATTGTTCCTCTTCTTCACTAGTTGAGCACATATTTCTTGAGTGTCTATGTAACATACTATATTTGGCCCTGAGAACACAGCAGAATAGGCAAGCTAGATCTCTCTCAAAGCACATAGGGGCTTTTAATCTTGATGATGACTTGTTGATCTATCTCATGATGCCGTGCAAAGAAGTCATTTGGTCAGAAACCACTGAGGATTCTTTAATAGGGATCTTTGAATGCCATAGCGGGATGGGTGAAAAGCAGGGTGTTGTACAGGTTGAAGGTAGTTGGCAACATCTGAGGCTCATTAGAGGAACAACTTCCAGATCCCTATGTCCTACTGCCCACTTGGCCACCTTTTAAATTCTACATTCTTTTTCCTCTAGGGTCTCCTTATTTTCAAGATTCCAGTAATCACCTTTGTGCATGAGTCTTTACCTCCACCTCTCTTTGATATCTCCTCCATTCCTGGGGGCCTGTACACATGTTACCCACGTGACATTTTCTCTTGAATGTCATGTTGTACCTTCAAATTTTGCATTCAATTTTCAAATTCAATTTCAAATGTCCCTTCAAGTTGCAAATGGGCTCATACTTCTGATATCTCTTTTCTATTAGTGTTACTTTATATTCACTTGGGCTTCAAACTTTAAAGTCATTTCTAATCTGTCTTAAGTCAACCAACTACTCAGTATTAGTAATTTGTCCTTGTTGACATTCTTTTCGTATTGAACCCAACTAACCAAAGAGCAGAAGGAACACACCTGTTGTCAATAAAACTAGAATTATTTAACTTGCTGTGGCAAAGAACATACTTTAGGAAAATCTCACAAGTGTTTCAGTGAGGTAATTTGGGATGGTCTTCTAACTGGGTTTGAGTTTGTATGGATGATTTTGAGGAAGGCTTAGGGAAGTGAAGGCTATTTTTTGAATCAGGGACATTCAGTGATTGAAGGTCAATAATTTTTATCTAAAAGGTGAGAGAATTAAAAAATGCTGGAGTTATTGATAAAACAAACAAACAAACAAAAACTCCAGGAAACACTCAGAGAAAGATGATATGAATCAGAGAAAGGTAAATTTAGCATTTTGTGGTCAGACAGTGGCCTTGCCTATGTCTTTCTCTGAACATGGTAATGGAGTAGACTGAGAATTTTCTATTTCCGATTATGAACATCACAATCTGGTTTCATTTTCCCAACAGGGATTTACTTTTCTTTCTTCCCTCACCTTCCATCCACATCTGAACTTATCCCCTCCTGTTTGAACAATTGGAGGAGCCATTTTACTTTCCTGTGCCTCTCTCGCTCTGCCCACTCTACTCTGTTCTTCACATCATTGCTGAGTCAAAAAACATGACTTTAAGCTTGTTACTCTTCTGCACAAAAGACTTCTTTGGGTTTCTATTGCTTATAGAAAAAGTCCACAGTCATTATTTTGATACTCAAGGAAGTACACACTCTATTTCCAATCACCCTTTTCAGAACTCCTTCTCAGGCCTCCCTTACTTTTTAGTCTAATTTGAATATAATATTTGCTTTCTAGTTTTTATGCCAGTGAATGCTTGATGTGCTGTTAATATATATATATATTTTATATTACATATATAATACATTATTATATAAAAAATACGGATTTTTTGGGGGGGTCTAGAACAGACTTGCTGAATGTGAACCTTCAAGTGGGAGTGTAGGTAACAGAGATTTTATTTTCATTTTGTTTCTCTCTCTCTCTTTATTTATTTATTTATTTATTTATATTTTTTGAGATAGGGTCTCACTCTGTTGCCCAGGATAGAGTGCATTGGGGTGATCAGGGCTCACAGCTGCTTTGACCTCTCAGGTTCAAGTGATCCTCCCACCTCAGCCTCCTCAGTAGCTGGGACTACAGTCACATGCCACCATGCCTGGCTAATTTTTTATTTTTATTTTTATTTTTTGTTGAGACAGGGTTTCCCTATGTTGTTCAGGCTGCTCTTGAACTCCTGTTCTCAAGCAGTACTCCTGCTTTGGCCTCGCAAATTGTTGGGAATAATAGGCATGAGCCATTGAACCGGCTGCGATTTCATTTTCTTAAGGTGATTGTGCTGCAGATTGCTTATGCACCACATTTTGGAGTGCATTATTTTATGGCATTATTCATGCTGTTCCCTCTCTCTGGAAGATGCTTCAATTACTTGAGTTGTCCACCCTTTAAGTCCAGTTGAGAAATCTGTCCCTAACTGCCTAAGCTTAGAGTCCCTCTGAATCTGACCTGTTATAGTATTCATTACATGTATCATGTTACTCCTTTGCTATCTTACCCATTAGAGCTTCTAAGTGCTTTGAAGGCAAGAGCCTTGCCTGTATTTCTTTCTAACTCTCATTGTCCAAGGGCAGTCTTTTATAAACAGTAGGTGTTCAGTAAATAACCACAAAAAATAGCAACATGGTTCACTGATACTCATTAAATTTGAATATAAAAAATAATTTCAATCAGCGGAATGGATGTTCCCTAATACTGATCTCCACTGCAAATTAATAATTTCTATATAATGTTTAGTCAATTATTAAGGTCCTAATTTTAATTTTAAAAATTGAGCCACATTGAGAATTTTAAAAAATCATTTTGTAGTAATTTTTTTTGAGACTTCTTATATTTGCGTTTTAATATACATGTTTTCAGACAGAGAGAGGGAGAGAGAGAAAGAGCTTACCTTTAATCTGTGTGCATTTTTATTATAAAAATTGAAACTCAGGAGATAAGGAACCTCATTTTATTGGAAAGGTATGCAAAATTTACAAACTTTTCACACAGCTTCTCCAAGAAATCTTATTATGTTTTGGGATTTCAGCCTGGTTGATTTAAAGAGTGGTGTTTCTAAAGATTCTTATCACACTCCTTACACTCTCAGTTCAATCTTAGCAACTTGGATATAGAAAAATGGTTTTCCTTTCCCCTGGAAGGAGTGGTCTCTAAACACAACTGACTTTGAGGCAATTATTTCCTTTTCCTTGAAGTGTAGATATAGTCTCTGCTACTACACAGAGTAAAGTGTAAAAATTTAATCACCCACAAGCCTTCTTTCTTATTTCCATGCCTATGAATCTATATAACAAAAAATACCTTACAGAAAACACATAAAACTTTCACTGTGGTCATGAATTGCTCCAAACTGCTCCTCAGTCTGTGAATCTCAATGAGGCTGTAGAATTGGGTCTCTTGAAGGAGTACAAGCAGTTCAGTTGGTTACTCTTCAGTCTTGAGCGCCATCTGCACTGTTGGAGGCTTTGTGTTCACGACCTTATTCACAGGCATCACTTAGACTCTATTGTCTAAGGCATGGAGGGCTGACAGGGTGTGATGCAGCCATTTCCTGATTTGCACATTTAGACTGAGTGTTCAAAGCCACAGAGCATTGTCTTTGTTGATACACTCAGCCCTACATTCTGTTAGGTGTTTTTGCTGGTTTTGAGAAGAGAGTTCTTCAACATGCTCTTTTCTATCAGAGAGTAAATAGACTGCATGTTACCTGTGGCCACAAGGTGCAGAGACTGGGGTTAGAGTTCAGTGGTAGAGCATTTGACTGCTTACGGTGCAGAGAGACAAGCAGTCCCCAGCACGTATGAAGTGCTGGAGCGTCCTCACTCTGCTGTCTCATGACTGTGTGCTCGCACAAGCCAGCACATCTAGTGGCACCTGGTTATTGCCCTAAGACCTCCTTTCCTCTCTTCATTGATTATCTGTAAAACATGTAATAGATGAATGAAAAAATAAACACTTGGATATAAAAGATATGTTTGTTTCCATGATCAAATAGTTTGTGTATAATTCAATCAGTGACTTTTTGACCCCCCAATTAAACAACATGTAGTACAAGAAAATAAAGGAACCCTTTCATGTTGAAGGTGAACTTGTGAAAAGAGAAGAAAAAGAGGAGGTATTGATAAAGCACAAAGACCATGAAGGGCATTAGTGTCCTTACTCAACCTTAACAGGGACTAAGGTCTGAGAAAAGTCAAACACAGATGTTCCATCCTATAAGGGACATTACAGATATCTAGTCTGATTCTCAACCCTGGTTGCATATTAAAATTGTGTAAGAAATGTGGGTATTAACTGGTTATTGAAATACAACAGGTACACACCATGAGTGTACGGCTCAATCATTGTATTAGTCTGTTCTCACACTGCTAATAACAATATACCCAAGACTGGGTAATTTATAAAGGAAAGAGGTTTAATGGACTCACAGTTCCACATGGCTGGAGAGGCCTCACAGCCATGGTAGAAGGCAAAGGAGGAGCGAAGTCACATCTTGCATGCCGGCAGGCAAGAGAGAGCATATACAGGGGAGCTCCTCTTTATAAAACCATCAGATCTCATGAGATTTATTCACTATCATGAGAATAGCACAGGAAAGACCTGGCTCCGTGATTCGGTTACCTTGTGGGTGCCTCCCACAACACATGGGAATTATGGGAGCTACAATTCAGGATGAGATTTGGGTGGGGACACAGCCAAACCATATCAATTATTAAAAACCACAATTTCTTTTGCACCAACTTAATAATTTTCACGAGGTAAATATGCCCCTGTAACTACCATCAGATTGAGAAATAGAACATTTCTAGCCACAGAAGCCCCCATATTTTTCCTCGTCATTATCTTCCCCACAGAAGTAACTGTTGTCCTGACTAAATACTATAAATTATTTTTGCTTATTTTTGAAATTTATATACATGGAATAATAGAGTATTATGTTCTTCTGTGTCAGGCCTTTTTCCTTTTCTGCCCAAAACAATGTTTGTGAAATTCTGCAAATATCAATAGTTCATTCCTGGAAAACATTCTCATTGTTGTCCACTACCTAATTTATGAATATGCCACCATTTATTTACCTATTCTACTGTTAATGGACATGTGTTGACTGCAGTTTGGGACTACTGCAAACAGGGCTGCCATCAATATTACTTTATAAATATTTTGGTGAATATATGTAAATATTTTGTGGGGCGTATACTCAGGAATAGAATCATTGGACCATGATATATGTGTATGTTCAGTTTGGTGTGCACGGCTACTTATTTTCCAAAGCGATCATACCAATCTACACTCAAATTCTAATTGCTACATATTCTTACCTACCTAGAAACTTTAAAAAATACCCAAACTCAAGCTCCATTCAGGCTCTACCCCAGAACAATTAAATAATAATTTTTGGGGGAAGTGTGTCCGGAATTGGTCGGTTCTTGGTCTCACTGACTTCAAGAATGAAGCCACGGACCCTCGTGGTGAGTGCTACAGTTCTTAAAGGCAGCGTGTCTGGAGTTTGTTTCTTCTGATGTTCCAATGTGTTCGGAGTTTCTTCCTTCTGGTGGGGTCGTGGTCTCGCTGGCTCAGGAGTGAAGCTGCGGACCTTCGCGGTGAGTGTTACAGCTCTTAAGGCAGCGCGTCTGGAGTTGTTCATTCCTCCCGGTGGGTTCGTGGTCTCGTTGGCTTCATGAGTGAAGCTGCAGAGCTTCGCCGTGAGTGTTGCAGCTCATAAAGGCAGTGTGGACCCAAAGAGTGAGCAGCAGCAAGATTGATTGCGAAGAGCAAAAGAACAAAGCTTCCACACTGTGGAAGAGGACCCCAGCGGGTTGCCACTGCTGGCTCCAGCAGCCTGCACTTATTCTCTTATCTGGCCCCACCTACATCCTGCTGATTGGTCCATTTTACAGAGAGCCCGGTGGTCTGTTTTGACAGGGCGCTGATTGGTGCTTACAATCCCTGAGCTAGACACAAAGGTTCTCCACATCCCCACTAGATTAGCTAGATACAGAGTGTGGACACAAAGGTTCTCCAAGTCCCCACCACAGTAGCTAGATACAGAGTGTCGATTGGTGCATTCACAAACCCTGAGCTAGACACAGGATGCTGATTGGTGTGTTTACAAACCTTGAGCTAGATACAGAGTGCTGACTGGTGTATTTACAATCCCCTAGCTAGAGATAAAGGTTCTCCACGTCCCCACCAGACTCAGGAGCCCAGCTGGCTTCACCCAGTGGATCCTGCACCAGGGCCGCAGGTGGAGCTGCCTGCCAGTTCCGCGCCTTGCGCCTGCACTCCTCAGCCCTTGGGTGGTCGATGGGACTGGGCGCCATGGAGCACAGGGTGGTGCTTGTTGGGGAGGCTCCGGCCGCACAGGAGCCCACGGGGTGGGGAGTGTGGGGCTCAGGCATGGCGGGCTGCAGGTCCCAAGCCCTGCCCCCGCGGTGAGGCAGCTAAGGCCTGGGGAGAAATCCAGCGCAGTGCCGGTGGGCCGGCACTGCCGGGGGACCTGGCACACCCTCCACAGCTGCTGGCCTGGGTGCTAAGCCCCTCAGTGCCCAGGGCGGCGGGGCCAGCCGGCTGCTCCGAGTGTGGGGCCACCAAGCCCACATCCACCCGGAACTCCTGCTGGCCCACAAGCGCCATGTGCAGCCCCGGTTCCCACCCATGCCTCTCCCTCCACCCCTCCCCGCAGGCTGAGGGAGCTGGCCCCAGCCTTGGTCATCCCAGGAAGGGGCTCCCACAGTTCAGCAGGGAGCTGAAGGGCTCCTCAAGGGCGGCCAGAGTGGGCGCCAAGGCCGAGGAGGCGCCGAGAGCGAGCGAGGGCTGTGAGGGCTGTCGGGACGCTGTCACCTCTCAGAAGGACCAAGAACTGACATTTAAAAAAACTCCCTACATGGTACTAATGTGCATCGGGGAAGAGAACTGAAAATTGTAATTATTCAGGTGAAGTAACTGGGGTATGAAGAGATGAAATGCTTTGCCCAAGCCAACCCAACAGTGAAAGGACCAAGGCTAGATGCCAAGTCTGACTCCTGCCCCATGGTTTTTCTTCCTAGCTGGTCTGATTTGTATGTACTTCCTTAGTATGCCATGCTCATATAGTGAAAATGAACTTTGGCTTCACCTATACTTTTAGAGCACTTTTTTTTTGTTTACAAAGCAGTTTTTTTTAGGCTTTGAAGGGTAGGTAGAGCAGGTATGCAGGACTGGCTACATCATTTGTGAGATCTAGTGCAAAATGAAAATGCAAGATTCCTTGTTCAAATATGATTAAGAATTTCAAGACCATAACAGCAGACATTAAACCAAGCATGGAGCTCTTCTAAGAGTGGGGTCATGTCTGATTGCACAGGTAGCACGTTCGTAAAACTGTCCCCATAGGTGTTATTACAGTATTTGAAAGTTACAGATGAAGAAGTAAGGTTTGGTGACTTGGTAAGTGGTTCAGTTCAGAGTTGAGACTGGTCCGATAATAACTGCTTTGGCTTTCTGGCATAAATGATGGATATGTTTCTCTTTTCTAGGATTTAAAAAAAAAGAAAAAAAAATGATGTAGATTAATTGCAAAATGCATACAGAGGGAGAAATTTTGAAATAAAAAGGAAGGAGGGATCATTTGGCAAAAGGAGTAAAGAACACATTTTGGGAAAGTGAGATACAACTAACTGCTGTTAAAACTGACACGGGCTCCTTGCCTACTCACTCTTTCTGGACATTTATGTTCTTTTCTCCTGAGACATTTGGCTGATAAACTCCATCCAGATGTTTGGACCCTCCCAGTAGATACCTTCGTAAGCCTAGTGTTGGGAACGGTCAAAAAAACAGATGGAAAAATATACTTCCTGGAGTCAAAATATTTAATAAAACATGGAAACATAATGAAACTCTCAAATAGGCATGAAGTTGGAAACAGAACTGTAAGAAGTAACTCTCAATTGTACGTGTGTGTGACAAAGTAAGAATAATAAAAATCTACCCTAAATATCTCCAATTAATTTGTTTCTCCCCATGCTATCCCCACAATATTCTTACAAGCCTATGACAAACTTCATAAACTAGAGATAGTTTGTAATCAAGGAGCTACATTATCAGATATCTATTTCCATGAGGGGAGGTAATTTCTGATCAATTCTGGTACTTTTGAAGTTTCTTTTTGCCTCTTTTTAGTTGTTTGGGGATATTTGTGAATGGCAAATAGTAATATGTAACTAACACTTCTTTCCTTAACTTGGTCTTTTTTTCTTACGAGTGGCTTCAGTTGAATTAGTTTGTCTTCTGAAGATGTGCAAAGGCATTTCTGACTTTGGCCTCTCTCGTACACCAGACCCTTGTAGCTCTTCCATCCCACGAGAGTGAAGACTCTGGACACAGAACTTAGAACTTGAGCCCAAGCCACCAGATACTTGAGTTAAGGGGTCTGGTGGGCCTTTAAAACAATCACGTACCCTTCTTTGCTTTCATTTTCTTTGTCTATAAAGTGGGGATGTTATGGACTATGTCCTCTCTACCATCCCAAATTCCTATGTTGAAGACCTAATCCCTAGTACCTCACAATGTTGCTGTTTTTGGGGATAGGGGCTTTAAAAATATAATTAAGATTAAGTGGGGTTGTTAAGGTGGGACCTACTCCAATATGACTGGTTTCCTTATATGAAGAGGAGATTAGGACACACATAGTCACAGAGGGAAGACCATGTGAAGACAGAGGAAAAAGACATAAATCTATACACCCAGGAGAAAAACCTCAGAAAAAAGATTAACCCTATTGACACCTTGATCTTGGACTTTCAGCCTTTACAACTGTGAGGAAATACATTTCTGTTGTTTAAGCCACCCAATCTTTGGTACTTTGTTATTGCAGCCAGAGCTGAGACAGAGGGTGATCTAATAACACTCACTTCCAAGATCGTTTCGTGGAATAAATGAAATCAGCATGTTGATTAACTGTCAAGTGTTGAGTAGGCGTTACTTACTGCTATAAACCACTAACTTTTGCTTTTCTTTGTTGTGCACATGGTTTACCTGTCCCTTTATTTTCTTCCTTTTCCCACTCTCCATTTCTGCCTTTAACATACAGCATGTCTCCTTAAGAAAACATAATTTAATTCAAAAAGTGAAAGAGCCACACCACTAAGTGTTTCTCCCTCCGTGTTTATTTGTTTATATTTTAAATCTAAACAAGAAGCCTCATGTGTCCTTTTCTTTGTTGAGAGGTCAAATCCCAAATACACACCCAGATGTAAATGTGCTCCCGCGGTCTAGTGTCTCACCTCTGAGTCGCATCTGTTTTTCCACACTCCCCACTCTCGCCATTCATACTAAACAGAAACAGGAGAAGGAGGACAGATGAATAATTCCAGGGGTAATCCCCCAGCAGCCATTTTCTCTTTTGCTGAAGGACTATTTTTCTTGTTATCTAACTATAAATGCCCACATTTTATCCAATTAACTGTGCTAATATTACCCTGAGAATAGTTAGTATTTATAGAGCAGATCCCCCTAGAAGCTCAAAGTTCTATATAAATATTGTCTCATTAGAAACTCATATATCCCCACAAATTAGGTTGGTGGATACTGTGATTCCTCTGATGTGCAGATGGAGAAACGGAGGGTGGGTGACTTTTACAAATTCAGAGATGCTGGGAGGGAAATATGGAAAAGCAGCACCTTCTCAGATTTAGCGATAAAGCCTCAGGCCAGCTCCCCAGATTTTCACAGGCTGAAAGGCATTCAGTACAAAGCCATCTGACTGTGTTTTGATGAGGACTTAGAACATTATAAACATCATTATCCTTGCTTTTCCCTGGAGACTAGGGCACAGAGTTTTAACTGATGAGGGCTGAAAAGTACCTGTAAAGTCTTGAAAGTAGGATTTAGATGTTTTGTTTTTTTCCTGGTAGCTAGCTGTTGATTACTACTGGTTTCTTCAGCTCACTTTTGATATTCTCACTTCTGAATCAATCTCATCAGTAATCCCTATAGCAGTACCCTACAACAGCAAGGTCCCATCCTATAAGAGTAAGTCTGCCCACAATCTTTCAATATGCTTTTTTTTTTTTTTTTTTTTTTAGTCTAGTCAGCAAACTCCTAATTCAAGAGTGTACTCCCATATCTATCTTTCATTCTTTTAGTGCCTTTGTCTTCCTTTGTCTTTATTTTCTCCTCTGAAAGTCCTGCTTGGGTTAGTTACATGGCTGCAAAAGCTAATAAATAGGCTTATCAAATGACAGATAATTGCTAATAAAAATCACCTAATAAAATATACATTATTAATAACATAGAATGCCAGTGTGACTGTGCCACAAAGCAGTGAAAAATAGAGACCAAGTATAAAGGGGCTGTCAAGGTTAAGATTGCTTCTGCCTCAGCACCTAATTGGTTAATGGAAGCAGCAGAGGAGAGTATGCAAAAGCATCCAAGGCTGAAGATAAGCCAGAGGGGAACTGAGACACTGCAGATGGATTTCCTGCTTATGGGTCAGGGCTGAATTGAAATTGTGACTGCAGGACTGACAGATTTTTATTATAATAGTCATCTCCTTCTAAAATCTGGTGAGCAGCTTCCCTGCCGACTCAATAATGCCTATTGCTGAACATCTGCAGTTACACAAAGGACTATTACTGTTGGCTGAAAGCTTTCTTATAGAGGATACTTCTTTAGAAAAGGAAGTAGCAGTCTTTACCTGCAGTTGGGTGGGGATACACTACAGATATTTAATTCAGCATTTTCATAGCACAGCATATTCATGTGTAACTTGCTTAATTATTTCTTGAATGGCTTTGAGATTTGTATTTCTGAGGTCTTTGTTCTGTAGAACATTCGAACACTTCTCTCTCTGTCTTTCTTATACATGAAGTCATTCTTTTGTCCTATTATCAACTCAAGATTGTAAAAGTGTCATTTCCTTTCAGAAAGTTCTTTTTTACAATCAAGATTATTAACTTCATATATTAATGCTTTTTAAAAAGGATAAAAGTTTTATTTTCTAACAAGTAATACTGCACTTTTTCAAGAGATGTGCTATAAAGAAACTTGTTAGGGAAAGATTGCAAAGAATACACACATTTAAATTGAGCAAATGCTAGCCTTTCACATAATGAGAGAGAGATCCCACCTGCAACTAGCTTTTAAAAGACATAGTGCAGAAACTACACCATTATGATTCCAAGAAAATTTTCATAGGAAAAATAAATATCCATAAATCTCAAAATTTATTTCATAGATTTCATGCTAAAAGCACAATTATAGGTATCTCTAGAGGCTAAAATATTTTAAAGGCTACAAATCCCTAGTTATTCTGTTCTCTGGTGCTTGTTTAATTTTTTCAAAGACATTATCTCCTGTCAGGTAATGAGATCTCTCCTCCTAGTTAATCTTTTTTCTCTTTCCATGGAATAAATTGGTATTTTTGCATGGTTGGCAGGAATAGGGCAGTGGCAGGTTTGAGAAAAATCCAGATAAGAAATCTGATGCCACCAGTGTTACGTGCCTCTTGGTAGATCAACCAAAATAGCCAAGCAGATGAGGCCCTTTGATTGGCCTACCTGGGTGGCATGCCCACCACAGGTTCCAGAGGAACCGGTCCATCTAGTTGGGTTCTGCTGGCAAACCTGTCAGGAGAGAGGGGTCAGAAATTTGGGGCTTGGGGGTGTGAAGGATGTTCAGTGATCATTTGTGACTCTCATGGGTGTTCTGGCCTTCTCAAATGTCAGTGTTCCTATGACCTAACAGCTCATCCTTTTAGGGCCCTTACTATATGCTAAGCGTTGTTCTAAGTACTTCATGTATGTGTTCTCTTTAAATCTAATGATAAGAATGGGTTCTCATTTTTCACTCTCACTATATATACACACACACATAAACACATCTGCATAGGTGTTATGCATATATGTTGTGTCTCTGTGTGTGTTAGCTACTGATTTTTTTTAATCAGTGAGATTTACATCCCATCTTCTTTGGCAGCCCTTTTCTGTGAAACCACACAGTGCTTGCTCTTGAAATGTCATGACATGTTAGGGACTCACCAGGCCATGTCTGTTTACAGTCATGTTACGTTTTGTGCTTGTCACATTACTGCATCTTAAACTATTTGAAGGTGGAGATAATTTCTTACACATTTTGTTGTGTCACATGGTTCACACAGCCTGGCACAGAGCACAGGCTCATCTCTTTGCTGAGGAATTAGAACCCGACTGCAGCTTTGAACAGAGTGGGATTGTGGTTGGCAGAGTTCAATGGATTTATTTATCTTCAAGATCATATTTTATATTTTGCTCTGTCAAATCAGGATATCTTCTCAAGGTGAAAATTCCAATAACAACTGAATATATAAATATGGCTAGAAACTGGAAAATGAGATGTTGTAGATAATTAGACATTTATTCAGGGAGAAAATGGCTGCACTGATTTTTCCCCTGGTAATTGGCTTTACTTTTCTTTATAATTAAAAACTAACATATTGCTTTTGTAAAAATATGACCTATTTCCTTTACTTGTAACTTTAAAAAGTGAATTCTACCAATTTGAGTGTAATCATTACTGACTCATAAATCACTTGAGAAAAACAGACTTTGAACATTTCCTGTTTTGCAAATGAGGAAACTGAAACCCAGGCATGTTAAGTGGTTGGGCCAAAGTCACACATTACATTACTAGCAGAGACACTTTGACTTAGAATATATATTTTATCCAATAAATATTCAGGGTCTAGTAGATACCTTGCTGCTGGTAGGAACCCAATAAATATTGGTTGGGAGAATAGATTATTCTGACTGGGTACTGACCAATCAGAACAGAAGTTGCCCTTAACAACTAGTGTGGCCATAGTGGTGCATATTGACAAAGTGTCGGCCCTTTGGAAAGCCAAAGGAGGCTAACCACTGTGCCTGCACCAAGTAGGCAGATGGTCAGAGCTGAGGGTTCATTTACTTCATCCCTTTGTTTTTCTAGATGTGTCCCAAGCCACACATTCAAATCAAGAAGTGGAAGTCAGCTTGTGGGTTCCTGGTGGATAGTGCTTTCCACCACATCAATTCTAAATGTGTGGATAGAAATGACATGAGGTTATAGTAGAAAGACAGTAATTTGGTTCTTGGTAACTAAATAGTTCTGTAATGAGGCAGGGGCAAGTTAACCCTTAAGGAGAATGATTAGAAGTGTTTAGCTTCATTTAGGAGACAAGAGTGAAGCTGAAACTCAAATGAGAAAGTAAGAAGTCAAGAAACTATAGATATCATGAAAGTCTATGAGTAAAATGCATCATTGAAAGTGATAGATAAGAGAATCATTAAAAGATTTCCTGGAGAAGGTTGCTTGGGGTTCAAGGTAGGAGAAACAGAAGGGAGCAGAAGATTATAGTTGTAATTGACTCACCAACCCATATCTTCAATCATATTCTTTGGTTTCAACATTCTAATACCTCTATAGAATTCCAGTTCACTGATGCCTAAAGTAGCAGTGTCCTTGGCAATGATTTAAAAGACATCCTGTGAAGAAAAGCATGCTACTAGTTTAACTTTTTTTTCTTAGTTTTGAAAAATAGAATGAGGATTGACCACTCCTACTCAATTATGAACCAGGGTAGTGCTTCTAGAGAGTCAGTTTTATCCTCATTTATCATAGCAAAAAGTCAATAAATGATATATGACAGTTAATAAATCTGGAAATAATGCATAAGATTTTCTTTTAAAATTTAAAGATTATCAACATTACAACTGAAACGGGAACAATTAGCAGAATTAAAGCGTTTCTCTTTTGCCAGAACAAATAGGGGACAGAAAAAATGTTACAAATAGTTATTAATTGCTTTTCAAAATAAACCTTTCTGTACTAAGTTGTTTTTCGTTTGTTTGTTTTGAGCCCAGGTACACACTACTTTAATAAACTTTATAATATGAAAAGGAAGATAATTTTTCCAAATTGTTTTCTTTTGGTGAGGGGGAAGCGCAGGGAGGATTCTCTGTTAGGAGCCAGAAACGTGGATGAAACAGAGGGTTTCTTCAAAGGACGAGTCCGTAACCAATCTTTTAAAAATGAATGGCAGGGATTCAATCTATCAAATTAAGATACATTTGGCTACTTTCCCAATGCCTTTTCTTTCCCTCTAGAGCTACTTAGTGAGTCATCCCTACAACAGGTATTTAGTAAACATGATGAGGGAAAAATTCCTTAATGTTCCCCAAAGCCAAATTCAAATCTTTTTCAGTTACAAATTTAGGCTATTTTGCTCCTCTTTTAATTGGTATAAATAATGGCTCAGCTAAATTTTGAGTGTTCTTAATAGTATGTTGAATAAGCACAGTGATATAATGCAAATCTAAAAATCCATTGGATCTTCCTAAGAAAAAAACTGCTACTGATATTTCTTCCTTTTTAAAAATCTACACTATTAGGCACCCTGAGTGTATCTGCCAGTTTGCCTGAGTTGTAAATCATATGAATTTGTGTACCTGTTACCTGTTGACCACCCAGGATACAATAATACTATTGATTATCCACACTTTCACATCTGGCCAATTATTACTGAAATGATCAGATCTGAAATCTGAGTTATATGCCACTAAGTCATAAACCACAGAAACAGCTGAGTGAAAGACCAAAACTACAGCTGAGTGAAAGGTTGGGTGGCTCTGCACAGGAAGATGGGATGCTGGATTTCTTTTGCTCCATCACTCCTGAGAACCTAGAGGAGAAACACCTCTATTGTGAATCCCTTAATTGCCTGTATCCCAAGAAGCCCAGCTGTGGTTTGACATTCACTCTCTGTTAGTGGAAGGCAGTGTGACTCAGACAAAGGATAAAGCTGACAGCCTCACTCTGAAGCATATGAATATTTAAAGCACTGTTAGCATTGCATGTGACTGGTAAATAGTTATTTGTCATACTTACACTGAATGAATTTTGCATTTATTTTGCTTTTGTCTTTTGAACGTCCAAATAAACAAATGAGGCTTCTTTAAACCCACAAGCATGCCATTTCCATGAAAAAACTCTCTGTACCTTGTTTTAGTCAATTGCCACGGATTAATAATTTATACTCAAAAAGGATTGCCTGTGAATTCTTAATTTCTAATGACTTATTATAGTTTCCAGGTGCATGAACTGGATTTATAATTACCAAGTCTTCTATTTCCTAATTGTAGGGCCTTTTACAGGTAACTTACCCTTATTGAATCTTTATTTCCTCAGCTCTAACATGAGGGCTTGAGTCAAATCAGAGTGCGTGTCTTATGTGACTAGCCCTTCATGACCAAGTCAGGACTGAACACCTTATAATAATTAGTTTTTCAATGTTAGACAGCAGGTGATTTTTCCCCATAATAATTCATGTTTTTTATTTTTTCAAAATGAATGATAAAAGATCTAGTGATAGTGGGAGCAATGATCATTTGAAGGCAGGAAGTAGCTGCAGTGTTTAGGTGAGGCTTATGCTCTCTACCTTGCCACAGTCTTGCAGTTTCTATCACGTCCCTAACAATGAGAATGAATGGCAATTGCCATTTATACAGCGCTTGCTCTACTATGCTTTTCTAATCCTGGACTGCTTTGATTGTTTATATTTCTTGTCTGGTCTTTGGGAGCATGTGTTTGCAACCTCTGGACCCTAAATTCTAAAAAGTCTGTGATTCACTATTTTATTTTTAAAGAAATGTCAAGAATAATTTTGCTGTACAGCAAGATATTTTGTTAAGTCTTAAGCTGTTTTTTACATTCCTAAAATATATGTTTGGTGGCCACATATGAAGCAGGCTGGCATTTTGCTGACTGAGAGCTGGAGTCCACCCAGGTCCTATAGGCTGCCCATGGTTCCTTGTTGTATGGATTTCTCCAATACAGCTGTTTAACTCATCATATCAGCAAGGAGAGTCTCTCCCTTCAGACTGTTAAGACAGAGTCTTATAAAATATAAACTACTCATGGGAGTGACATGTCGTCACCTTTGCCATATTCTATTGATTAGGAGCAGGCTGGACACGGTGGCTGATGCCTATAATTCCAGCACTTTGGGAGGCTGAGGCAGGCAGATCACTTGAGGTCAGGAGTTTGAGACCAACCTGGCCAACATGGTGAAACCCTGTCTCTAATAAAAATACAAAAATTAGCTGGGGGTGGTGGCATACGCCTGTAATCCCAGCTACTCTGGAGGCTGAAGCAGGAGAATCACTTGAGCCTGAGAGGTGGCAGTGAGCTGAGATCATGCCACTGCACTCCAGCCTGGGCCACAGAGTGGAACTGAGACTTCGTCTCCAAAAAAGAAAAAAAGAAAACAACAACAAAAAAAGCAACTCGCAGGTCACAGGTCCTATTTGCACTCAGTGGGAGGGGATTGGACACAAAGGTATGAACAAGAGATGGGAATCATTGGAGGTCACTCTAGCGTCTGTTTGCCACATACGGTAAAATATTCTTTACTTCAATAAATATTTATTTAGCAATTACCATATATAGCATTTATTCACTCAATGTAAAGGAAAGAAAACCATAGTGATAAATACTTTCAAAAATGCTAAATTGAGTAAGATGCAATTCCTACCTTCTAGGGGCTTACAGTTTAATGTAAAAGTCTGATACATGAATTTATCATTCCATTTACTCTAAAAGGCATTTAAAATATGTTCAGAATGTGCTTCTGAGAATCTTCAGGTTAAAATGTGTGTATTGGAGTATATTTGCTTAAGACAGTGGACAAGCCAGGTGTGGATGAGTGCCCCTGAGTCCCAGATCTCATTAGCACCCAAAGAGAGTTTGAGATGGGACGCTGAGGCAGGAGGATCACTTGAGTGCAGGGGTTCCAGGCTGTAGTGCACCAGGATCTCACCTGTGAATAGCCACTGCACTCCAGCCTGAGTAACATAAAGAGAGCTCATCTCTAAGAAGAAAAAAGACAGTGGATTAAAATTTGGGCAAATTATTTAAAATATGACTCCTGTGGACGATGGCTGCCACTCTCCACTTAACTTTGCTAGCATAAGTATGACATAAAATTAACAACTTAACTGCCAGGTACAGAACAGGTGATCAATATGTGCTTTTTTTTTTTTAAATCTTTGATTATCTTCTCTTTTATGGGATGGGGTGATTATTAATGGAGAAAGGATAGTACAGATACAGCATCAGATCTGTAAATGCGTTAACATCACACTGAGTTTCTTGTGGTGAATTGTCTATAGAAAAGGTATTAAATCACATATCAAAAATAAGACATGTATTATTATCTTACTGAAGCTCATCATTGCCTAATACACATTTTATCCTGTCCCTATCCCACATCTCTCAGGGAAAAAAAAAATGATTTCACATTCCAAATGCTAACACAAATTTCTACAAATCAGATTTCAATCAATGAATTTATTTGCAACAACCAAAAGATGCAAACACATGAAACACATGGGATTATTGATATAAAGTGTCTGTTTAATGTGAGTGATACCATAACTCTCAGTGGGCACTAATGAGATCTGTGATTACTACAGAGGCAGCATGTGGCCTTTAATTAGGGAGAAAAAGTGATTTTCACTGTTTCATTATGACATTTTTAGCAGGAAGAAAAATAGAGCACTGTTGACATTGTGCTTAAAATTATCCACTGACATTTGTCCTGTAAACTCTCTCTAAAACAAATTCCTATATATTCTATGTTACCCTCAATATGTGTATATGTGTAAATAGTGATATTTACACATACACATATGAGACACTATTCCCTTATTTGTTGAAAACAAAGTTGTAGCATATGCTGTTTTTTGTTTCTCAGAAAGAAAAATGTGACCATGTTTATTTCTTTAAATTCATATTTTGCGAATTAGACATTCCAATTTAAATTATCTGGTCAAATCAACTTTCAACATGCATTCTTGCTAGCCTATTTTTGACATCCAAGGTGCTGCTCATTTTTTATCTGATTCTTGAAATTAAAAAAGAAAAATGTTCAATTTGGCATATTTTTCTCTTTTTTATTGCTGATCAGCAGGATATTTAGACTTGATAACGAAATGGGCTTTATCTCCATTTTACAGGGAAAAACAAGACTTAGGATATTAAAAGTATTGCCTAGTACCTCCTGGTGACTTAGCACTTGGGATGAATAAAAAGAAGAAGCATGAATATAAATGTGTTGATTATGACAGTGAAGGAATCAGAAGTTTCCATTTCATTACATCAGATATTGTATATGTGGATACAGTAGATGGGTACATATTATAGATCCACATCTTGTATTTGCAGCTGGTAGAATGCTGTATGTAAATAAGGCCATGCATATGCAGTGCATTCCAAATCATCTCGGAGCTAACTGCCTGGTTTGTGAATTTCTTCAAGTTCAGATTTTTCCTCTAGTCATTTCATCAGGTATAGGACTCCATCAAGCAATTACTTCATTTGCAAATATCTCTTTATTTAAAATGTCCCATTCATCTTTATTGGACCTACATTGTGAAATAATGTATTGTGAAATAATGTTTGTTCCCAAACTACCTTCTGAATATTTTTGCTTTTGTTAGGCCTCAGTGTCAAATCTATTAATGTGATGAATATGAGTGCATTGTAGGTAGCAGTGTTTTAAGCTAAATTTTAAGGATACAGTAAACTTCTGTGGAGAGTTTTGCATGCTGAGTCATTTTCCTCAAACCCCAAAAGGATTTTGATTGTCAGTTTCTTGCCTGATTTATTTCCTAACATGTTACAGAATCAGATTTTAAAAACTGTTATAAAGTTGTATAGGAATGAGGCAGCAACAACTGGAAGGCAGCATTCATAAACTGTGTGTAAGTGAACAGATGCGCCAGCAGCTTGCAATAGGTAAAGTGTCATTTGGGTCAGGGTGGGTTAATTTTTTAAGTGAAAGTGCACTCAGATTCTCTGTTCCATAAGAGATTTGCTTCTGATTGTAATGTCATAATCTGTTTATTGTACAACTCTACACTTTAATTAAGTGAATTAAATTGAATTGCTGGGTTATCATATGAGACCGTGTGCTATATCTGGTGGGGTAAAAACTAACATACAGCACTTACTCTTGTGAAGTTCGTAGTCTGGTGGGGCTTCTTGTCAGACAGGTAAACCAATAAATACACAAACAATAGAAATCTGTAAAAAGTGCTAATTGAGCACTGAGTGTGGAACCTTCAGATAGCCAAGACCTATTTTTTTTTTAAGTCAACTGAGCCAAGCTTTTAGTCTGTGAAGCTACTAAAAGCTTCAGAGAAGCTTCAGAGAAAGGGTAGATTAACACATGAATTATGATAACTGTCTCGGTTCAGGTCCCAAGAAGCAAAGGAAAGGATTCTTGTATAGGCGATTTATTGAGAGTGCCCTGGGAGGAAACTGTCAGGGAAGCAGCCTAGGACAGGGGAAGAAGCCAAGTAAAAATGGGGTCTCAGCTTCGTCCTCCAGGTAGTTCTAGAGTGTGATTAGGACCACAGAATTTTTACCCTTCAGAGTGAGGCAGGCTTCTGTATTCCATATCAGTTCAAACTGGCTCAGGAGGCAGCATTTCTTGGGTGAGCTTTCTCCCATCCCTTAAGACATTATTTTTGGAGAGGTGCAGCTGTGAGCTTTTTGCAGCTCACTCTCCTAGCAACGGGGGTGGATGAGTGCATTGGCCTAGTACAACGATGACTAGTGTTTATTGCATGCTTACTATGCACCCAGCACTCTTATAAGCATTTTACTTAAATAAGATGATTTAATTCTGTGAGCTAAATCATAACATTGCTCCATGTGAAACTGATGAAAACAGAAGCCCAGACAAATTAGTTGAACTAATCAAGGTCACACAGGAGGGAAGTGGCAGAGGCAAGATTTGGACCTGCTTTCTCTGATTTTGAAGACTATTCTGTGCTGGCTCTCTACTACATGGCTGTAGCAAGCAATATTGCTTAAAGTGGACATATAGCACCAGAACTTGGTCATAATTTGTTTCTCATTTGTTTCCATAGAAACGAATGTCTAAGTTGTGATGAATTTGCCAGTTAGCATACAGGAACCAAAATTTAACTGTGGCTTCCCGGAAAACATCCTCCCATTTCCCAACAGAGGTAGCAGCTCCTAGATTTCTACTCCTTTTCCACTTTCTGGGAAAGACCACACTCTTCACATCTCCTGATGCCCAGTTCTCTCTCCAGGCCAACTGTGCTTCCTCATGCTTTCTGTAGTCCAGCCACATAGTCAATTTGTGAATACATCATGCTCCCCCCGCCCCACCCTGCCACAGGACCTTTGCACATGCTATTCCTTCTGGCTGGAGTGTAATTCCTGCTGGCATCCTCTGTTCCACCACTGTGTGCTTAGTTATCTTTTTATGAACCTCCAGGTCTGATTGATCAGGCTTTACTTATTCTACTTCCTGCCCCCTTGTCTAGGCCAGGGTTTTGTTTTGTTTTGTTTTGTTTTTTGTTTTGGTCACTTAATTAGATCCTTTTCCTTCAGAGATCCTCTCTCATTTCACGTTTATACAAACCTTGGTGGGATTACTTAATTAATGTGTGTTGTTTTTCCTGGACTGCAAATTCCTTGAGGACAGGGACTGTGTTTGTTTTACTCACTACTATACCTAACATAGTGCCTACCATATTATGGATTTGCAATAGATATTTGCAATAGATAGATAAATGGATGAATGATGGAAAGAATTGTTTAGTCCACTCCTAGGTTTCTCACTTCAGCCCCCTGACAGGCTTGCCTCTCCTCCGCTGCTTCTTGTGCCCTGCAGTTGGGTTCTTCAAGGGCCTGTGCCCATCCAGTAGGCATGTCTTGCTCCAGGTCTGGAATCTCTTGGTCTGACCCATCTGTGTCAACTGAGGGCTGAGATGCTCTGGAGATTCCTACCCCTCACCTTTTTTCAATGGTACCATTAAATTTTTAATTAGACACATTTGGGGAATAAAGACCCAGTGCGGGCCATCAGCATAATCTCTTACGGAAAGAGTCTTGTGTGAATACACTTGGGGGTTCACAGGACTCTTTAATTTTTCACAAGGTCCCTCTTTGACAATAGTCAGACCCCCTACAACACATCCATTTAGGAGTAAGAATATTTACAATGGTGTTTTAGTAAAACTCCTTAAAATAAAGAAGACAGGTGTTTTAAGGCCTTTAAATAATGCATTGCAATTACCTCTGAATAATTTGTTCTGTTAGTATGTACTTTTATTAGCAAAAAGCTTAAAATAATTCCAGACAGAATTTGTAATAAGCAACTTTCACTAGGAGTCAAAGAAAAAGAACGAATAATAACCAATAATATCTGCAGTAATATCTGCACCTGGGTTTATCTATTATATTCTGAAATTGATTTTTCTGTTGGGACAGAAGCTTCAAAGTAGAAAAGTTGAGATGGATAATAGCTTCAATCTACATTTTCTACGTTATTTTGCTAGCATAAGGAAGGCATACCTTATTGATTTGAAATACTATTTAGGGAGGTTTTATCATAAAATGGATTTGGCTGTATACATTAGCTTATTCATTAATATTTAATAATTATTTACATCAAATTAATTTATCTTATTGCCTATTAATTAAGCAATGAATACTCTTCTTGGATTGTATCCAGATTTTACAAAAGGCAACCTATTCTTAAAGTTTTTTGCAGTGTTCATTATTCTGAGAACAACCTTGTAAGGTTTGGACTTAATAGCCTGGTAGGTCATTTACATCTCTGCCCTGAGCAACTTAACTAAATTTTGAATTGGGGCCAGCTTTAGTAGGGAACACTCCAACTGCTAAAGTGCAGTGAATCACTGAATATAATTGTGGGATAAAAATATGAAGCTCAGACTGTCAAATTGCAATTGGGGACCTATGTATAATGTAATGTCCTGTTTTGGAATTTAAATATTTCAAGATGGAATGTATCACATTTGATATTTATCCTATCTGGTAATTTTTCCCTAAGCTCAACAAGATGCTGCAAAATTTCAGCGCTTTTATATTTCAATAGATTAGTATTATATCTACAGTCTTCATATATAGGTGGAGAGAAAATAAATATCTAAATTTGGAACCCTAGAATAGACGTCTGTCATGGGGCAGCACACATTTCATGGAGTGACTGCTATGGTCCAAGTGTTTGTGTTCCTTCTCAAATTTATATATTGAAATCCTAGCCTCTAGGGTGATGGTATTAAGAAGTGAGGCTTTTTGGGAGGTGATTAGTTCATGAGGATGGAGCCTTCAGGAATGAGATTGGTGCCCTTATGAGAGAGGCCCAAGGGAGCTCATTTGCCCCTTCTACCATGTGAGGACACAGCTAGCGGGTGCCATCTGTGAACCAGTGAGCAGTTCTTCACTAGACAGCAAATCTGCCAGCATCTTGATCTTGGACTTCTCAGTCTCAGGAGCTGGGAAAAATACATTTCTTTAGTTTATAAGCCACCTAGTTTATGGTATGTTTGTTATAGCATCCTGAATTAACTAAGACAGTAACCCAGAACCAGAACCCAAGAATTCACTTCATGACAAGCAAGGTAATTATGTAATTTGTTGATCAAATTAAAATAATTTTGAGAGCAAAGGGTGTTCTTAAAGATCATACTGAGATGAAAACCTGGGACTATTTCAGGCAAATGTGGATAGTCACACTAGGAGTAAATAAATTTAAATCCTCAGCCACTTCTGATTCTATGGCTGTGATACAACATCTATTGAAGACTATAACGTTTTATTTTAGTTCTTGTTCAGGTAATTTTTAAAAAGTATTTTCTTAATACTAAGTCTTTGGAAATATTATTTATAAACACAGACTACATAAACCCATACACATAGACATATTTATTTCTTCATTCAGCCTTTCATTCATTCAAGAAATATTAATTGAGCACCTTTTATATTCTAGATGGTGTACTAGATTTTGGGGTGGTGATAAGAAAACAAGAGCTGGTATTATTGTCTTTATGATTTATGTTGTCTACTGTATGCAGTGGACATTAAGCACAGTTACACAAAACACTGTCAGAACTGTGTTGTGTTACCAAAGAGGTGCATGTGGGCCTAAGGATAATATAAAACAAAAATTTGACTCTGTCGAATAATTCAGAGGAGCATTTCTCAGCAGGTGATAATTGTGCTGAGATGTAAAGGATGAGAAGAGATAAGTAGTCATGATGAGAATGTAGAACAGAGAGAGCAATTTGCTTAGTACCAGACTGATGCCAGCTCCCTTCCAATCCAGATACACCCAAGGAATATTCGCGGGCAGATCTTGGTAACAGATTGGGTTTACATTTTCTTTTTTGTGGTTAACTTTTGATTTCCGAATGTGGTAGGTGGGCTAATAGCATTTGACTGTATGTTGGAGAAGGAAGAGAAGGCTGGAAAGGCTTAAAGAAGAAATTTGTGATGGAGAAAGAGAAGTAGAACAACTCTCGTAGGGCGGAGAACTGCAGGGTTCAAGCAGACATGCTCAAGAGATGATGTGTGGAAAATGTATGATGTGTGGGGATGACTATTTCTCCATAAACCTGGCTGTAAGTGACATGGCTTTTGAAGATGGATTTGCATTTGAGGGAGGCTGAGACTGGCCAGGTGGAGAACAGTGGTGGCCTGAGAAGGCCCTATTTCCTTTTAGCTTGCCACATATGTTCAAGGGAATTTTTTAGTTTTTGTCATGTGTTGTATTCATATAGCTTTTGTAATTCTTACAGTAATTTATCTGCAGTTTCCAGGAAATAAGCTACAGTAATGAAATGTGAGCTAGTTATCTACCTCATTAGGATTATCTATATAAACTTCCTAGCTTAACCACTTGTACTTTGTGTAATGGATTACATTTTCCCTCCCCAGTAAGAGTTCCAATTTTAGGGAAGTTTAAGTTAAAGGGAGCTACCATTTGACCTGCTCATCTGAAAACAAATATTTTTGATGTTGTGGTTGTGTTATTAGGCAGATAATGTGTGCTTGTGTGTATGTGTGTGTGTGTGTGTCTATGCATGAACACAATACGTGCATGCATGTGCAGGAAACTGAGAGCCTAGTTTGACACCAAGTTTTTAAAAATATACATGGGTACGGTAAGATTGACACATGTAAATGAATTTTTAAATAACATGAATGTTATTCAATGAATGTTACCCAAATGTTGATTTGTCCAGAAGTTAAAAGGGTATATACTAGAGAAAATTAAATGTAAAATAATGACTCACCGGGGGGTGGGGATTTTTATTAGATATATATGCTTATAATTGAATATAAAATCAAGAAAGATACCAACTTATATTTAGGCCCCTGCATTTTTTAAGCCATAGCTATATTTTTGCTCAATTGATCCATGTCCAAAGTTTTATGTATTTTCTCTGTCTCAGCGGTTCCCATGACTTCAAAATGCCCTATATACAGTTGAGCCCAGTGTGGAATGATAGTACAGAAAAGAAAATTAGTGACTTCTATCAGAATAAGCCTTGAACGATAGCTCTGAAGCAGAAAGTGTGAGCCCACATCTGAAAGGGAAAAACAAATGGCTATGAATAATGCAGCTATGTAGAAGCAGAGTGGGAAGGCAAAAAAGTTTTCAGGCTTATTTCTGGTTCAATTCAATGACTATCTTTTTATATATCTGCAGTGAATACAGGATTTTCTCATTGGCTAGACTAAAATGCCACAAAATACTAAATTTCATGTTTTCTTCTTTACATGGAGTTTTCATTGCATTCTTCTTTTCCCTAGGATAATAAAACTCTTTATTTCCTAATTGCTCAATGGGGGATCCACATGGCTAGGATAATAATGAGCTGGCATAAAGCCTCGATTTCTGGAAGGCTCTGTGGATTCAGGGAAGTCACAAGGTTTACTAAAGTGAATTCCTTTTTGCTTGCAATTGATCCCCCAGGTAATGTAGACTAAAGAAGAAAGATACAACTTCAGGCATTAATGAAAAGGCCCCATGATCTGGAAAGGAACTTTGTTCAAGTGAGGGCATGTCAGCCACAGAGCTTTAAAAAAATGAATCACAAGATCTGTATGTTTTAGTGAAGTTCCCTGAAATGTCTTGACATGAGCTGGTTGTATCACAGAAAATCACCTTCCATTGACTTTAAGCCAAATCATTTACATTAGAGATTCAGCTGGAAGCCTGCCTAAATGTTTGAGGGATTATTTTTATAAACTCAGAGTAGATAGTGTGAATACTAATTGTCTTCTTAATGAGAGGATAAGCTGCTCAAAAATGACGGTCTCTGTTGATATCCAAAGATGAGCACTCAACATGGCATGGGACTGGTGGCTCCAGTCTTCATAAGGCTGAGCAGGCATTTTAAGAACTGCTATTCACTAAGGTGTGGATGTGGTCTCCCTTCTGATTCCTTTCCAAGATATGGATCATGCAGTATTTTTAAGGCCATAGCTGCAATGTTTGTCCTCAGTCTTTCATTAGCATTATGATTTTTAAAGCTCTGAGAGCCATCAGTAGAAAAGCACTAGCCCCACTGAAGTCATTATGTGCAGAGGAGTTAAAAGATCAATACTGATTACTGAGTTGGTTCTCTGTTGTGCATTTTAAGGATGATCGTGATACTGAAATACTAAGTAGTAGCTTAGAAAGATATAATACTGCATTTGCTGGTGTTATTTTAACATCCAAAAGGCAATTGGTGATCCCTTAGAGTTTTAACGTTAATGAATTTTTAAAGTTTAGAAAAGTAAAACATAACTTGTAGGCAAAAAATAGGCTTACATGGCATTACACATAATACTTCCTCTAAAGTACCTTTCAGTAACATAATAGTGTTTTTAAACCATAATTCCATTTTACTAGATTATTAGATATTAGATTTTTTTAAATTACTGTGTTCCCAGAACATCTTTTTTATCCATTTTGAATGAGTGTTCTGAATGTTGTAATAGCAGAAGCTTGGACTTAGAACAAGAGAGAGAGGGAATAGTTCTTCCCTCACACACCCTGATTCTGGCCTCTCAATATCCCTTGACTTTGTTAGAACACTTATCACAATAAGAATGATAAAGAAGATAATGAGAATATTTAGTTAGATGAAGAGAAGACTTAGGAAGAACGTGAAGACTGTCTTCAAATATTTTCATGTTCCATGGATTTCTTGAATAGATGGATGGAGGGATAAGTGAAAAAATGAATGAATGAATGAATGGATGAATGAATGAATGCAGCTCTTAGTGGAAGGCATAGGGCAGCAGCAGGCAGTGGTTGAAATGCTCTCTACCTTTAGGGGATGGACACAAATGAAAAGACAATGACTATGTAGGGTGGCAAGTAAAAGAGCGAAGAAACTATTTCTGAGTAGCTTCATATGGCAGAACTAAAATGAGTGTCAATTTTTACTTTAAGTAAATTTTATGTCAAATGATTTCATAGGTCTATTACAAAAATATTATTCAATTTAACATGTTTGTTGAAGACCTACTATTTGCAGTCGCCCCAGATAGATATGAAATATGTGCATGGGTGGAGGGACAAGTAGCATAAGGATGATGAGAACACCGTTAGGAACATGCGCTTTGGTAGCCAGTGAGCTTCCACACCTGCAAATGCATTTAGAAGTGCCCCCAGTATGGCGTAGTGCAGGTGTTAGGTCAGTGTGTTCAATTCATTCAACTAGAATAAATTAAACATTTTTTTCCTAAATAGTTTTGATAACTCTCTGATTTATGTGCATATTCTCACTATATGTTTAACTTTTAGTAAGGGTAAATGGTTTTATGAGATATACACTGGTGTTTACTTCCAACCAAAGAAAAAAGAAACAAACCCCTCTTCTTTATTCATGTATAGGTTTATTAGTAAACTTTTCACTTATTTTAATGTCTTTTATAGAGAAGTTGAAGATGGCCTTGAGGGAAAGCCAGCTCCCAGCAGGATCTGAGGTGTTTGCTGAGGAATGGCCATCCTCAAAGTAATGACCTAGCACTAAGCAGTCTGCTATTGGCAAGGTGATTCTAGAGTTATCTTTAGGAATTAGACTTAGCATTGGCTATTTTTATATTTTGGGATATGGGGTTAATTTATATAGAGGTTAAATTACTTCATGACGATTAACAATTTCATGTTATAGAAAGTGTGAAGCTTGCGTTTCTTAAAATAGAAAGCTAGAAACCTCATGGAGGCTCTTTAGAAGAGTTGTGAGTTCTGAAGGGATCAAAGAGAATGGAATTATTGCAATTAAAAAACTAATAGAGAGTGTCACTGTTTTTCTTACCTCCAAACATTACTACTTTTCCTCCTCTATTAAACAGACACCTATTATCTGCTCTGTATTAGGGAATTAAGCTAGGTTCCTGGAAGATAACATTTTTGTGTGTTCTCTTTAAACAATAGTTTTATTATTACTGTTTTATATGTTTAGTGTAGAAAACTGGAAAATATAGAAAAGCATAAAGAAAATAAAAAAGCACCAGTATTGCCACCCTACTCTCATCTATTATTATTGCATTATTATGTAATTTCCTAGCCCAGATTTTCTTAATGGGCCTTCTCTCTTGGAAGAAAAAGAGAGAGAAGGACAGAGGGAAAAGAAGAAAAGAAGGAAGGAAAAGGGATATGGAGAAGGAAGAAGGAAGGGGGAAAGAGAGAAAGAGAGTGGGAGTGAGAGAGAGAGAGAAAGGAGTCCATTCATGCTTTACTCTCCTGCTCCATCAGCAGGGAGATGTAGTGCAGGTGATTGATGCCCCAGGCTGTACAGTAGCCTTCTATTCAACCTGGTACATATGCAGCTGGGCTGTCCCAGCGGGCTGATTTGTACTCCTCCACAGGGAGAGAATACCAGATTGGTCTTTCAGCAAGAAATTCTACTTAAATCTTTTCTCGTATGGGATTTTTTATTATTATATAACCCATAAAAACAAACACAATATAATGGCACAAAGCACTTGCTTTATTGCCAGAAACTGGAGTCTCTCACAGAGTTGCCCTTCAACTGCTGACATCCCTTCAAGGGTTTTCCCTCACATGCTCAAAGAAGGTTCACTTGGCCTTTGCTTGCTGGTTTTCATATGTGCAATCATGATCCTACCTCAGCTGGGACTGACAGTTGGGTGTCAGCCCCAGGCACAGCCTAGATAGGCACAGCCTGGACAGACACAACCATTCTTTTGGAGATGTCTTCAGAAATATAACTGATCTTGGGGTAGAATCTCTGGCTAGTCTATCCTAAGCATGATATAGGCCTTTTCTCTTAATTTCTAACAATAGGTTGGCATCTACATGGTCTGACTTTTTTAGAAGAGATGCTGGAATTTAGGAAATCTCCTCCTATAAACAAAATAAAACAATGTTAAAAAAGTCCAACCAACCAGCCAAACAACCAAGAAACAAACTAAAGAATTGCCTCATTTCTACTTCTGGCCAAGCTAGAGTAATAGATTCTGGATTAACACTCTTTCCTTAAACAGTTAGAATGCTGACAGTAATATGTAAAAGAAAGGTCTTCAGGGCCAGGCATGGTGGCTCACTTCTGTAATCCCAGAACTTTGGGAGGCTGAGGCAGGTGGATCGCCTGAGGTCAGGAGTTTGAGACCAGCCTGGCCAACATGGTGAAACCCCATCTCTGCTAAAAATACAAAAATTAGCTGGGCATGGTGGTGCACACCTGTAATCTCAGCTGCTCCGGAGGCTGAGGCAGGAGAATTGCTTGAGCATGGGAGGCACAGGTTGTAGCGAGCTGACATTGTGCCACTGCACTCCAGCCTGGGCGACAGAGTGAGACTCTGTCTCAAAAAAAAAAAAAAAGGAAAAAAGAAAGGTCTTCAGACATTGAAAAACAAAGTGCACGGGATGAAGTTCCTTAAGAAAAAGAAAACCAATGAGTTAAAACTTACAATTTCTCCTGCTTACTCCTGGGCATGGTTTTAAAGCTGCAGTACAGATAGCGTGGACCCAAAGACAGCCCGACAGTCTTGCTAAATGGAAGAGACAGAGGCCAGAGTTCAGAGAGGCTATCATGGCTACAGTTTGGTGGGTGATGTACTGGAGTAAGGGGAGGATGGAGAATGAATGAGAGAGAGAGAAAGAGAGAGAGAGGGAGGTAAAAAGAAAGGAGAGGGAGAGATACTTTCACATTTTTTGGCTAAATCTGATCTGAGCATGCATGAGAAGACACTACCAGGGGCCAAGAAAAATGTCACCAGAAGAGATGCATGAAACGCTTTCCAGACTCTTTCCAGAGCTTTTACAAGACTGGAATAGTTTATATTTCCACAAATCACAATCGAAAGCTCACAAAATATTCACAGCATTATAGAATCTTCAGAGTGGTTACTAATGGAAGTAAATTAACTTGACTTAAGAATTCTCTTAGCCTATCATGCAAATTTTAAAAGCAAGATTTTAAAGAATACAATTATTACATAAATTAACTATACTCAGAATCAAAGGAATGCAACAAAATCTAGTAAACAACAACGTAACATTCTGTCACCTAATAAAAAATTATCGGGCAAGCAAAGAGGCAAGAAAATATGACCAACAATCAGGAAAAACTCAAATTTAATACAAACAGACCCAGAAATGACAAAGATGATGAAACTCGTAGACAAGAACATTAAAACAGCTATTATAAACAATTTTAATATGTTCCAGAAGGTAGAAGAAAAGATAAAAATGATGAGAGAATTAGAAATTAAAAGAGCTTACGTTGAACTTCAAAGATAACAAATAAAAGATATGAAATAGAAAATGACTGGAACAGATGAACACATTGGACACTGCAGAAGATAAGATCACCAAACTTGAAGACAAAGACATATAATCTATCCAAATTGAATGATACAAAAATAAAAGCAAAAACAGCACCAGTAACTTCAGTTTTTTAAAAATTTGAATATTTTTCTTGTGTGGGTCAGATTTTCCTGCTTCTTTGCATGCCTAATAATTTTTCATTATATAACTGAATTTCAGAATTTTATGTTGTTGGTTGCTGAATGCTGTTGCAATATCAAGTTTCAGCAAATGTGTAATTAGAGCCTCAGAGGAGAGGATATTGTGGTGAAGTCAGAAAAATATTTGAAAAAAAGTGGCTGAAGATTTTACAAATTTTATGGAAGCCATAATTTATGGATCCAAGAGTCTTAAGGACCCCTAAGCAAAATAAAACTAAATAAAATTATAAGACACATCATAGTCAAATTGCTAAAAACCAGATATAAAGAAAAAATCTTAAAAGCATCCAGGAAAAAGAGACAAATGACATACAAAAGAATAAAGACAAAAATTATAGCAAACTTATCATCAGTAACTATGCAAGCCAGAAGATAGTAGAGAGTCATTTTTAAAGTACAGGCATATATCAACCTGTTCTTCCATTGCTATAAAAAATACCTGAGATTGGGTAACTTGAAAAGAAGTTTAACTCGATCATAGTTCTGCAGGCTGCATAAGAAGCATGATGCTTGCATCTGGTCAGCTTCTGGGGAGGCTTCAGGAAACTTATAATCATGGCAGAAGGTGAAGACTGAGCAGGCACATCATATGGTGAAAGCAAGAGCAAGAAAGAGGCGGGGGAAAGTGCCACACACACTTTTAAATGATCCGATCTCATGAGAACTCATTCAGTATCATGAGGACAGTACCATAGTATGGTACTAAATCATTCATGAGAAAGCTGCCCCCATGATCCAAACACCTCCCACCAGGCCCCACCTCCATCACTGGGGATTATATTTCAACAGGAAATTTGAGTGGGGACAACATCCAAACTATTTCAAGGCATACCTCCTTTTATTGTGCTTTACTTTACTGCATTTTGCAGATAGTGCTTTTTTTTTTTTTTTTTTTTTTTTTTTTTTTTTTTTACAAACTGATGGTTTGTGTGGCAACCCTGTGTCAAGCAAGTCTATTGGTACCATTATTTCAATAACGTATGCTCATTTTGTGTCTTTCACATTTTGGAAATTTCTGCAATATTTTCAAAGTTTTTCATTATTATATTTCCTATGGTGATCTGTGATCAGTGATTGTTGATGTTACTATTGTAATTGTTTTGGGGAGCCACAAACTGTGTCCATATGATGATAACTTTAATCCATAAGTGATTTGTGTGTTCTTACTGCTCCACCAATTGGCCATTCCTCCATCTCTTTCTCTAGCCTGAGGCCTTCCTATTCTTTGAGATACAAAAATATTGAAATTAGTCCAACTAATTACCTTATAATGAACTCTAGGTGTTCAAGTAAAAGGAAGAGTTAACACATCTCCTACTTTATCAAAAGCTAGAAATGATTAATCGTAGGTAGGAAGGCATGTTGAAAGTCAAGACAGGTTGAAAGCAAGAGTTCCTGCACCAGCATTAGCCAAGTTGGAAATTCAAAGGAAAAGTTCTTGAAGAAAATTAAAAGTGTTACTTCAGGGAACACACAAATAATAAAAAAGTGAAACAGCCTTATTGCTGATATGGAGAAAGTTTGAGTGATTTTGATAAATGATCAAGCCAGCCACAACATTCCCTTAAACCAAAGCCTAATCCATAGCAAAACCTAAATTTCTTCAATTCTAGAAAGACTGAGAGATATTAGGAAGCTGCAGCAGAAACGTTTGAAGCAAGCAGAGGCTGGTTAATTAAGATTTAGAAAAAAACTGTCTCCATAACATAAAAAGTGCAAAGTGAAGCAGCACATGCTGGTATAGAAGCTGCAGCAAGTTATCTAGATCTAGCTAAGATAATTTATGAAACTGGTGACACTAAACAAGAGATTTTTAATGTAGACAAAATAGCCTTCTATTGGAAGAAAATGCCATGTAGAATTTTTGTAGCTATAGAGGAGATTTCAATGTCTGGCTTCAAAATTTCAAAGTACCGGCAGACTCTTGTTAGGGGTGAATGGAGCTGGTGAGTTAAGTTGAAGGCAGTGCTCATTCCAAAAATCCTAGGGCCTTTGAGACTGATGCTAAATCTTCTCTGCCAGTGCTCTAGAAATGGAACAACAAAGCCTGAATGACAGCATATCTATTTACTGCATGGTTTACTGAATATTTTAAGCCCACTATTGAGACCTACTGCTCAGAAGAAAAAGAGATTTCTTTCAAAATATTACTGCTCATGGACATTGCAGCAAGTCACCCAAGAGCTCTGACAGAGATGTGCAAGAGATTCATGTTGTTTTCATGCCTGATAACACAATATCCATTCTGTAGCCCATGGATTAAGGAGTAATTTTGACTTTCAAGTCTTATTACTTAGGAAGTACATTTTTCTATAGCTGTCACTGCCATAGGTAGTGATTGCTATAATGGAACTGGGCAAAGTAAATTGAAAGCCTTCTGAAAAGGATTCATCTTTCTAGATCCAATTAAGAATATTTGTAATTCATTGATAAATTATCAATATTAACAGCAGTTTGGAAAAAAAGTTATTTCCAAACATCATAAATGGCTGAAGAGTTCAAGGCTTAAGTGAAAGAAGTAATTGCAGATGTGATGGAAATAGCAAGAGAAATAGAATTAGCAGTGAATTTTGAAGAGGTAACTTATCTGCTGCAATCTCATGACAAAACTTTAATGAAAGAGGAGTTGCTTCTTAAGGATGAAGAAGAAAGTGGTTTCTTGAGATGAAATCTACCCCTAGTAATGATGCTCTGATCATTGTTTAAATGACAAAAGGATTTAGAATAGTACATAAACTTAGTTGATAAAATAGTGGCAAGATTTGAATGGATTTACTCCAATTTTGAAAGAAGTTCTACTGTGGGTAAAATGCTATCATACGGCATCATGTACTACAGAGAAATCTTTTGTAAAAGGAAGAGTCTGCCAATGTGCCTAACTTCATTGTTGTCTTATTTTAAGAAATTGCCACAGTCACCCCAACCTTCAGCAAACACCACTCTGAGCAGTTAGCAGCCATCAACATTATGGCAATACCCTACACTGGCAAAATGATTATGACTCATGGAAAGTTCAGATGATCATTAGCATTTTTGAGTAATCAAGTATTTTTAACTAAAAAATGTATTTTTTAGACATAATGCTATTACATACTTAATAGACTACAGTATAGTATAAACATGACTTTTATATGCACTGGGAAACAAAAAATTTGTGTGACTCATTATTGTAACATTTGCTTTGTTGTGGTGGTCTAGAACCAGACTCACATATCTAGAGATATGCCTGTATTGAAAGAAAAATATTCAACAGGGGTTTCTTTATTCAGAAACAAAATTTAATAAGTGAAGACAAAATTAAGACTTAGACAAGCAAAAACTAAAAGATTTCTCACTAGCTGACTTGGGTTCCAAAAGAAAAAAAAAGTTAAGTGGAGTTTTTTAACCAAAAGCAAAATAATACCAGATAGTAATGTGATTCTAAATAATTGAAAGAATAATGCTAGAATGGTGTAGAGAAACATAAAACATATTTTCCCACTTAAAAATTAAAAAAATTATTTAAAGCAAAAATATAAACATGGCATTCTAGCATATGTGGGAGTAAAACATATGACAATAATACCACAAATTTTGGGAGGTAAATGGAAATATGTTGCTGTTGTACTCTTTAAGTGAAATAGTATAGCATTATTTGAAGACTATAATAAGTTAAAACTGTATTTTATAAAGCTTAGACCAATCACCAAAATAACATAAAACTAAAAGGTATACTTAACAAGCCAAGATGGTGCATTAGTCGATTCTCACACTTTTATAAAGATACTACCTGAGACTGGGTAACTATAAAGAAAAGAGGTTTAATTGACTCACAGTTCCACATGGCTGGGAGATCTCAGGAAACTTACAATCATGGTGGAGGTGAAGGGGAAGCAAGCACCTTCTTCACAAGGCAGAAGGAGAGAGAAGAGCATAGAAGGAGTTACCAAACAGTTATAAAATTATCAGAGCTCAAGAGAACTTTCCCACTATCATGAGAACAGCATGGGAGAATCTGCCTCTGTGATCCAACCACCTCCCTCTCTCAACACAGGGGGATTACAGGTCCCTCCTCAACACGTGAGGATTACAATTTGAGATGAGATTTGGGTGAAAACACAGAGCCAAACCATATCACCTTGCTCCTGGCCCCTCCCAGATCTCATGTCTTTTTACACTTAAAAACCAATCGTACCTTCTCAACAGTCCCCCAAAGTCTTAACTCATTTCAGCATTAACTCAAAAGTCCACAGTCCAAACTCTCATCTGAGACAAAGCAAGTCCCTTCTGCCTATGAGTCTGTAAAATAAAAAACAAGCTTGTTACTTCCTAGATATGATGGAGGTACAGGCATTGAGTAAATGCTCTTGGTCCAAATGGGAGAACTTGGCCAAAACAAAGAGGCTACAGGCCCCATGCATGGCCAAACTCCAGCAGGGATATCATTAAATCTTAAAGCTCCAAAATGATCTCCTTTGACCTCATGTCTCATATCCAGGGTACACTGATGTAAAGAGTGGGCTCCCCTAGACTGGCACAGCTCATTCATGGGCTGGCGTTGAGTGCCTGCAGCTTTTCCAGCTGCACAGTGTAAGCTATCAGTGGATGTACCATTGTGGTGTCTGGAGGATGGTGGCCATCTTCTCATAGCTCCACTAGGCAGTGCCCCAGTAAGGACTCTGTGTGGGGACCCCAACCCAATATTTCCCTTCTGCACTGCCCTAGCAGAGGTTCTCCATGAAAGCTCAGCCCTTGCAGCAGACTTCTACCTGAACATCTAGGCATTTCCATACATCCTCTGAAATCTAGGTAGAGGTTTCCAAACCTCAATTCTTGACTTCTGTGTACCTGCAGGCCCAACATCACATGAAAGCCACCAAGTTGTGGGGCTTGCACCCTCTGAAGCAATAGCCTGAGCTGTATCTTGACACCTTTTAGCCATGGCTAGAGCTGGAGCAGCTGGGATGCAGGGTACCAAGTCCCAAGGCTGCACACAGCAGTGGGGCCCTAGGTCCAGCCCATGAAACCATTTTTTCCTCCTAGGCCTCTGGGCCTGTGATGGAAGGGGCTGCTGCCAAGATCTTTGACATGCCGTGGAGATGTTTTCTCATTGTCTTGGTGATTAACATGCAACTAGTCATTACTTATGCAAATTTCTGCAACCAGCTTGAATTTCTCCCCAGAAAATGGGTTTTTCTTCTCTGTCACATTATCAGGTTGCAAATTTTCAAAATTTGTATGCGCTGCTTCCCTTTTAAACATAAGTTCCAATTTCAGTTCATCTCTTTCAAGTTCAAAGTTCCACAGATCTCTAGGGCAGGAGCACAATGCCACCAGTCTCTTTGCTAAAGCATAGTTAGAGTGACCTTTACTCTAGTTCCCAAGAAGTTTCTCATCTCTATCTGGGAACACCTCAGCCTGGACTTCATTGTCCATATTACTATGAGAATTTTGGTCAAAACCATTCAACAAGCCTCTAGGGAGTTCCAAACTTTCTAACATCTTCCTGTCTTCTTCTGAGCTGTCTAAACTATTCCAACCTCTTCCCATTACCCAGTTCTAAAGTCACTTCCACATTTTCGGGTTATCTTTATAGTAGTACCCAACTCTACTGGTACCAATTTACCATATTAGTCTGTTCTCACACTGCTAAACACATACTACCTGAGACTGGGTAGCTATAAAGACAGGAGTTTTAATTGACTCACAGTTCCGCATGGCTAGGGAGGCCTCTTGAAACTTGAAATCATGGTGGAAGGTGGAAGGGAAGCCAGAACCTTCTTCACAAGGTCACAAGAGAGAGAAGAGTGAAGGAGGAACTTCCAAACACTTAAAAGATTATCAGATCTTGTGAGAACTGACTCACTATCACAAGAACAGCATGGGGGACACCACTGCCAGGACCCACTCACCTCCCTCCTTCCATATGTGGAGATTGCAGGTTTCTTCCCCAACACATGGAGGATTTAATTCGAGATGAGATTTGGGTGGAGACACAGCCAAACCATATCAGCTGGAAATAAATTAATCTAAATGAAGGCAAGAAAATGGGAAAAAGTAACAAAGAGCATATTGGACAAATAGAAAAAATATCAAGAAATTAGAATTACACCCAATTATACTGATAATTACATTAAATATAAATGGCTAATTCTATTTCCTATCTATAAATTCAAGGGAGTTGTACCCCCTTTAACCTTGTTGTTAAACAATTTTTTTCTTCTCTCTTTTCATTCCAGTTTCAACCATCCTAATCTTTGTGAACAAAATGAGAATGCTTCTTACTGATTAAAGAAAGTGTTACATGAAAGAATAATGAAAAAGAAGAAAAATAAAGAAGTAGTATACCTAGTACATAATGGTAGGGAAGTAAAATAAAATGTATAAGGTCTCAGTCCCATCATAATCATCATCCTTGACTGAGTTGCTTCTTTGTTATGCTTCTAGTTTAGCTTTTCATGACAGAGACCAATTTACCACTCTACTTTTCTCTGAGTACCTCCGGCAGCTCTCTGGGTATTTCTGTCTTCTACTGCAAACAAACCCAGGACCCTGAAGAAGGGTAATTATTTTTCTTTAGTCCTTGCCCAATTTAAGGACTGTTATCATATCTTCCTAACTGTGCCAGAATTTACCTCTGCAGGATTATTGACAGAATGTACATTACATTGAGAAGAAATCCATCTCAAGCTATTTCAATTATCTTTTCCTGTCTAATAAACCAACACAAAACCTAGTAACTTAAAACTTGGGAAATATATTATTTTCCACAATTCCTTGTCAGGGTGGTCTTTCTGCTTGCTGTGTCTGGGATCATTCAAGTGGCTTATAATTTGGCTGGATGCTGGGCTCAGCTGAGACAACTGCAGTGGCTGGCATCTCTTTTTGTGTGACCTTTCTTCTTCAACAAGGCTAGACAGGACTTCTTCAGTGGAGACCACAGTGTCTTAAGAGACATTGCATCTCAAAGTCATGTCTTCCCTGGTGGTCTAGTGGCTAGGATTTGGTGCTCTCAAAGCACAATGTTTGTCGTCATCCTGTTGGCCAAAGAAAATAACATGGCCAAATCCAGTGTCAACATGGGACAACAAAACATTGTGGATACTGGGAAGTATCACTCATTGGTGCTATTAGTGTAGCCATCTACCACAGAGTCTTTCCTGGAGCCTAAGATGAAGGACAAAATCTGTCTTAGGGCTTCTCCATTACAGGTCTCAATGTTCTGCAAATAACTTCTCAAAGAAGAAAACCCACCATTGTTTAAGAGCACTAACTAAGAGACAACAGTCCAAATGCATACTTAAAAAAAAAAACATTTTTCTTAGTAGACATAATCTCCAGGTTTCCTCCTGTGCCCAATAATACACTTTTGAAATTTCATGGACAGTATTTTAATCTCTTGGAGCCTTTAGAAAATTTCAAATAGTCTTGAGAAAATTTCAATTACAGAAGAAACTATTCACTCTAAATTTATAGAACTAATAACATAGGGGCATTCTTCATCACATCAAAAGGAAAAAAAAATCTTCCTCTAGGTAAATTTAAATATATCCCCCTTTTGATAGCAGAAAAACTACTTGTAAATTTTAAGTGGTTGCTATTCCTATTTGTCTCAATGATTGAAAAAATTACCTTAAAGTCCAAACTCTCCCAGGTAATTTCATTATACTTCTCATAGAACTATAGTATCTAGCTTCTTATGAGAACTTTTTTTTTCTGATGTTTCCACTTTTCTTTCTCTAAAGTAAAAATGTTGACAGCAAGCATAGATCCGTGGTGATCTCTAGAACAGTTAAATCTTGTTCTTATCCTCCTTATGTTCACACAGGCAAAAGTTTAAAACGACAGATTAAATTTGTAGTGTCCCTGTGAAATCGTTTAGTTCAGTCCCCATTTTACAGATGGAAAAACCTGAGACTTGTAGCATGTACGTTGACTGGCTTGATGAAACAAAAGCAAATTGGTTGAAGAACCACATCTAAATCTGCTGTTTTCCTAGTCCCACCAAACTGCTTATTTTCAGTGTATTGTTTTTAATTTTAAACAGGACAAAAAATTTAACTTAGAGTGGTTAAAAATAAATAAATACAAGGCCAAGAAGAGTTCACATTCCCTAGTCCTTTACAGTCCAATACGGAATATTGAACCAGAAGTCAAGAAGAAAACCTGTGTAGTTCCATTCAAAGTCAGTGTGTGAACTAGAGCCACCCTTTTTTTCAGTTTTAAAATTGGGGCGGGGAGGGGGGTGTCTAACTAGATCATATCTAAGCTTCTTTACATTTCAAACTTCTGTGATTTAGAGTAAGTTTAGAAAACAACATGCTTATGTGATTAAAATCACAATAAATGCCATTACTAAGTGCTAATCCTCATTCATATTGCCTTGTAGTTCTCACCTAGAATTTATTTAATAATGTAAGAATTCTTAACCTGAAATAGGAGTTAGAAATTCCTGAAAAAGTCATAAAGGACTAGGGAATGTGAACTCTTCTTGGCCCTGTATTTATTTATTTTTAATCATTCTAAGTCAAATTGTTTGTATTGTTTAAAATTAAAACAATATGCTGAAAATACACTGAAGTATTGCAGGTGACCTATTTCAGCTTACCTAATTAATTTGACACCCAACCCAGAGATTATCATGGATCTTGAAAAATCTTCAAATGGTTTCTTGTAAAAAAAACAAAACAAAACCCAAATAACCAAAAAACAAAAGAATAAGGCAGCAAATGCACCTTGAATGAACATATTAATATTATATTAGTAATGTCTTTGTTTCCCTAAGTAGTTTTGAATATACCATCTAAGAATATAAGTCATAAGGGAACAAGATGCTTGTTTCCCAAAGGTGGTAACCAATTTTTTAGCCATTTTGATAGAAAGAAATAACAGCTATTTTATTCCTTTCTTTAAGAATAGATTTTTGTATTCTTTAAAGAACCAGAACAGTTTTTAGTATTTTTTTTTTTTTACTGAATGGAATATTTGTATTTTCTTATTTTTTTAACTAAAGAAATTTATAGTTTAGGAATTAGGCATGAGATAAGATTTGTAATAATTTTTTAACTAGTCTGACAAGTCAACACTTCTATATCCTGGTTTCCCTATGTCCTTTGTAAACTTTATGCAGATATTTTAGTATGAATTTGTTTTCCAACATTAATCTCAGCAACCTTCGAGGATCTTTTTCCTAAAGATTCTAAAAAATACTGTAAAGCAGCAATGCCTATCTAATGGTCTACTCTGTGAGCCTTGGACTTGTAAGAGCCTTGTAAGAAGTTGCAGATGAAGCAGATGTCCAGGGGAAAACTCCAGAATTAGAATGACTATTAAAATTACTGGCTAAAAGCCATCAGTACTCAGGGATGAACATTACTACCTTTGGCAGGAAAATAAATTGTTCATTCTATGTACGGTTAGAAACTGGTCCTCTGACGGTATCTGTCTTTCGGTGGAGAATGCTTGAAGTTCCTCTCAAGGATGCTACTTTGTTATTCTGGCTCCACATGCTGTTCATTAGCATGTAAATTGTTCATGGTTTTTTTTTTGAACTAGAGATCAACACATACTGTATCTATCTTGCTTTTGTAATTAAACTTCCATTAAATAGGAAAAAGCTCAAAGAATTTGATAGCAGAATAACACATGGTGAAGGTAAATGTCTATTTTTCATTTTCAGTATTTCAATTATGAAAAACAAATTTAAAATGCTGGTGGGTAAGCCTTCTAATTCTGTTACACATGGATAATGTCTAAATCCTTCAAAATGTAGAAACATTGAGTTGGACTTGACATAGAAAAATTGAGTAACCAAGAGAAGTGATTAAGAGCTCAGGCTGTGGAATCAGGTGGCATTCATTTGGATTTTGATTCTGTCATTTATGGGTTGATTGAACTTGGGAAAATCTCGGTATCTCTGTGCACTGTTTTCTCCTTGCATATTAGAGATAATTGATAGTGCCTGTCTCATTAGGCTGTTTTGAGAATTAATGTGAAGTACTTAGAATAATATCTGGTGTGTAATAGATGGTAGTGTGCTGGTAAAATATTCACAAATTGCTCTCCAAACAGAAGATCTGATTTTAAGTGCTTGCCAATTTCTGTAGTGTAAATACTTTCATGATGGAGTAAACACCCACAAGATGACATCACTGCATGTTCAATTCGAGAGAGATATGAATAATTGTTGTTAGTAGCTTTTATGAGCCAGTTGTAGCACACTATTGGTAGTAAACATTAAACAAATTTTAATTATTGTTGTTGCATTCATATTAAAATAAGGGAAAACACTTAAGGACTTTTAAATCATTAATCAGATATTCTATATATTATGGTAATATTTTGATGGCGTATTAAACTTAAAATTTAAGACATTAAAGTCCATTGTATGATATACATTTGCTCTAATTTCTTTTCCTAGCTGTTGAGACCCAGTCGCCAATGGTTGACGTGGGTCACTTTCTTGAGCTTACTAGAAGTGGTTAAGGGAAGATTTTCAGACAACAATTGCGACTCATTATCACTTCTCAAATAGTCCTTTAATGGCTTTTGTTTGAACTATGGAGAGGTTGGACATCCCTGTTAAGCCATTGTAAGTGACAAGACTGGCATTACCAGGCCAGGACAACTGCAGCCTGAGTGGCTCTATGGACTGAATTGGGTCCCCCTCAGATTCATATGCTGAAGCCCTAAATTCCAATGTGATGGTAGTTAAAGCTGGGGTCTTTGAGAGGTAATTAGGTTTAGATGAGGTCATGAGGGTTGGGTCCTCATTATGGGATTACTACCCATAAAAGAAGAGACCAGAGCATGCTCGCTTGCTTTGTCTCTCTATCTCTCTCTCTCCCTCTCCCTCTCCCTCCCTTCCTCCCTCCCATGTGAAGACACAGCAAGAAGGTGGCTATTGGCAAGCCAGGAAGAGCATCCTCTCCAGAAACTGAATTAGTCAGCACCCAGTATGTGACATTTTTTATAGCAGCCTAAGCTAAGACATATCTCCACTTTAAATTCTGCATTTTTAATTTATTAATTTGGAAGATACTCCTTAATTTGCATTACTGTGTGATTGTAACATTCACATTTCACAACATTTAGTTTACATTTTTGAATGCGAAGTTGGTTTTTCATGGAGTTTTGCTTTTTGTTTGTAGTCCCATTTTTATTAGGCACAATCAATTTTGAAAAGAGAAAAAAAGATAAATTAAAGGAGCAGCTTTTAAGATAATGCCGTCCAGATGAGGCAACGGCCTGTCACTAATTAGGCGGTGAGCTCTCAATAGGCTTCCTCTATTCAGCCTCTATGCAAGCATCTTTCTTTCTACTAAACTATCTCAAGCAATGTATAGCTCAGGAGGTCTTCCTTCTAGGACTGTCTTTTAAGCTTGAAGTATCAGCATCCGTGACAAGCAAGAGAAGGAGACTGAAAGCTTTGATTTGTCAAGTAGTAGTAAGTTTTTTAAGCCTATAAAATGCAGCCTCATTGGTACATTTGGTCAGAATAGGAATTTACATAAAGAGGGTTCAAAAGGTGCACAGGAAAATTTAACTTGGGTGTTAAAAAGAAATTATCTTTGTGCTAAGAGTTGACAACACATTCTATAAATTAATAACAAAGCCCCATGCTAGAACGTACCAATTTTTCTTCAGAATAGTTAGAACAAACAATTTATCTGGAGACTCAAATTGTAAATGTGAAAGTACACAACTGACACCTTTTTGGAGTTTAGATACACACAGCTGGCTATGACGTTACTATCTTGGCTTGCCTCCTAGCTGGAATTAGGAGCTGTATATTGTTCAGGTTGGACTTTCATTATTTTAAAATGAAATTTATAGTTCAATTAAGTAAAAAGGGTCTAATTAGTAGATTTGGGAGGATGATTTTAAGGATTTTTGGAGAAGCAGCTAGTTTGCTTTCACAAATCAGTCACACTATATTTTCAGAAACCTACATGAAGTTTTTTTGTTTTTTAAAGATATTTTTACCCAGCTGTGGCTAGAGGGGCTAGAACACAGCTATCCCAAATTTTATTTTTCAGATGTTGCTAATAGTATTAGTAGCAATTCTGGAGGTGCTATTATGTGCCAAGCACCAGTCAAAACTACTCATCCTTACAACAACCTTCTCAGTTAGATGATGATTATTCTAAATTTACCCATGTGAAAATTTAGGTAAAAAAAATGTCTATTAACTTGCCAATGATTACAGTTGCTGATCAGGAAACCTACTTTTCAAAAGTCAGTCTCTGCTTCTGCAGCCCACTTTCCTTCCTCTATTATCACACTGCCTCCAGTAAAACACTGAAAAACAAGGCTTCTTTTAGAACCTGTTTTCAAATATTTTTAAGTTGTAAATTTTTATTCTGAATCTCTGGCTTTTTCAAGAAGAATGTCTATTCTTCAGATGCTCTCATCATTCTCTGTTACTGCACTTAGAAAAACATTTTCTCTCAAAGAGCGAAGATGGCAGATTTGGAGTCAAGAAGAGAAAACATAAATTTAGAAACTTAAAAATTGGGAAAAATGCCCCTGTTATCACAAAAGTACTCAAATCTCTTCTAATGTGATCCTCCAAGGAAGGGTAACTACTTTTCATGGACATTTGGGCTCCATGAAAAACAATTTATAAAGCCAAGATGTTTCATTTCCTTTAAGTCAGCTACAAGTTCAAGCAAATATGAAAGAAATACTATGTTTGGTATTTTGGCTCTTTTCATGATTGTTTCAATATTATTTGGAAAAATTAAAGATTTTGAAAATAATTAGTCACCAATAAGAAATCAGCTTTTCTATCTTGGAAAAAGGTAACCTTAAAAAGGATACATTGTTGCAACTCACAGTGGTTCTCATTGTGTACTTCTGAGGTCAGTCAGCTCAAATACCTAACCCAAAAGAGCTATTATAGTTCGTAGAATTTGATTCCTTTGATTTAAAACAAACTCTTCTTACTTTATCTACCACTAAGAATGGGAGGATAAAAAAGCAATTAAATCATGGTATAGCATCTTATTACTATAGATTTATATTTTATACTTATTGAAATAGTTCTTTCAACATACTAAACATGGGTTTTTACCATATGTTATTCTTCCGAATAAATGTAGAAGAGATATACATAAAATATATTATGCAAGGAATTCCTACATTACTTCACATGTACAGTCTGCTCTTCCATGTCACTTTTTGACCTAGTCATAGATGTTCGTCTTTCTACAAAATATTATCCTTTCTTTCCACCATGAACATGTGTGTTCCAACATGTCCTAAAAAGCCCTTTACTCTTTCTCTGGGATTCCTTGCCCAGCTGTTGATACCCGTTCCCCAAGTGTTGATGTGGTCACTTTCTTGAGCTTTCTAGGGGTGGTTAAAGGAAGGTTTTCCAACAACAATCATGACTCGTCACTTCTCAAATGGTCCTTTAATCGCTATTGTCTGAACTATGGAAAGGTTGGGCATCCCTGTTAAGCCATTGTAAGTAACAAGCTTGGCATTACCAGGCCAGGACATCTGCAGCATGAGTGGTGCTGGCTGTCAGGGGTTGTAAGGTGTCCTGATTGTGACAAATACCGCAATCCCAGAAATGTTAAAATGTAAAAAGTGTGTCTTTAGAATCAGCGAGATTTACTAATAAGTGATGCAAAAATGGAATTGGAAAAGTTAGCTTTTCATAGATAATTATGGCAAATGCTAGCTGAAAATGTTTGTTGTCTATAAAAATATTGTCCTAATGTGTCCGGAATTGGTGGGTTCTTGGTCTCACTGACTTCAAGAATGAAGCCGTGGACCCTTGCGGTGAGTGTTACACCTCTTAAGGTGGCGCATCTGGAGTTTGTTCCTTCTGATGTTCGGATGTGTTTGGAGTTTCTTCCTTCTGGTGGGTTCGTGGTCTCGCTGGCTCAGGAGTGAAGCTGCAGACCTTCACAGTGAGTGTTACAGCTCTTAAGGCGGGGCGTTTGGAGTTGTTCCTTCCTTCCGGTGGGCTGGTGGTCTCGCTGGCTTCAGGAGTGAAGCTGCAGACCTTCACGGTGAGTGTTGCAGCTCATAAAAGCAGTGTGGACCCAAAAAGTGACCAGTAGCAAGATTTATTGCAAAGAGCGAAAGAACAAAGCTTCTACAGTGTGGAAGGGGACCGGAACCCGTTGCCACTGCTGGCTCTGGCAGCCTGCTTTTATTCTCTTATCTGGCCCCACCCACATCCTGCTGATTGGTAGAGCCGAGTGGTCTGTTTTGACAGGGCACTGATTGGTGCGTTTACAATCCCTGAGCTAGACACAAAGGTTCTCCACCTCCCCACCAGATTAGTTAGATACAGAGTATCCACACAAAGGTTCTCCAAGGCCCCACCAGAGTAGCTAGATACAGAGTGTTGATTGGTGCATTCACAATCCCTGAGCTAGACACAGGGTGCTGATTGGTGTGTTTACAAACCTTGAGCTAGATACAGAGTGCCGATTGGTGTATTTACAATCCCTGAGCTAGACATAAAGGTTCTCCACGTCCCCACCAGACTCAGGAGCCTAGCTGGCTTCACCCAGTGGATCCCGCACCGGGGCTGCAGGTGGAGCTGCCTGCCAGTCCCGTGCGGTGCGCCTGCACTCCTCAGCCCTTGGGTGGTCGATGGGACTGGGTGCCGTGGAGCAGGGGGTGGCGCTACTCGGGGAGGCTCGGGCTGCTCAGGAGCCCATGGAGTGGGTGGGAGGCTCAGGCATGGCGGGCTGCAGGTCCCGAGCCCTGCCCCTCGGGAAGGCAGCTAAGGCCTTGTGAGAAATCGAACGCAGCGCCGGTGTACTGGCACTGCTGGGGGACCCAGTACACCCTACGCAGCTGCTGGCCCGGGTGCTAAGTCCCTCATTGCCCAGGCCGGCAGGGCCGGCCAGCTGCTCTGAGTGTGGGGCCGCCAAGCCCACGCCCACCCGGAACTCCAGCTGGCCCGCAAGCACCGCGCACAGCCCCGGTTCCCGCTCGCGCCTCTCCCTCCACACCTCCCTGCAAGCTGAGGGAGCCGGCTCCGGCCTTGGCCAGCCCAGAAAGGGGCTCCCACGGTGCAGCAGTGGGCTGAAGGGCTCCTCAAGTGCCGCCAAAGTGGGAGCCCAGGCAGAGGAGGCACCGAGAGTGAGCGAGGGCTCTGAGGACCGCCAGCATGCTGTCACCTTTCACTAAAGCCAATGAGAATATACCTTTTACTAGCTGTCATCCACCACAAAACTAAATTGATTGCCACATAGATATGGTAATATTTTTGAAGGTTTTACAAAGAGATCATATCCTGAAAGTTCATCTTTAGTCCTAATGGACTCAGCTTTTAGCATACTAAATAATCTCTGAATACAGGGAAATTACAACATATGTTATGGATGACTTATTGTCACTGTCCTTTCCACATTCCAATGAACAAACTTTAAAAAGGTGATTTTAGCTTAGGGAAAGAAAAGGTACACTTATGAGGAAAGATTTATCCCTTCTCATGAGGCAGACAGAGATCAGTAACGAAGTCTGAGAAACCTTTGAAACGATGCCATCAGAAACACCATCTGATGCATTATTTTGCATTACTCTTTTTTCCTTATGTTCTAGACAGAAAGTATGCTCCCCAAACTATCATGTTTTCAGTTGCCAAGTGGTTTGCTAATTGGTGCCCAAAAGGAGTAAAGCTAATATAAGGTGTGGGAGCAAAAGACCAATATGTGCAAACTGGACAGAATACAAGAGGGGCTAGAAAAATTGAGTGGTCACATGGATTAAATTATAATCAGTATTTGTTGGTTATTATTTATCATGAAAAGGAGTAGTTTGATGAACAATTATGAGAATAAATATCAATTTATTTTACTTTGTATTATTATGAACACAATTTGAGCTATTTAAATTTACTTTATCACTTCAGATGTATTTGCCACATGTTTGAGTGTAGGATACAAGTTAAAAAATGAGAATATATTATTGCACAAAACAATTTTTTTCACCTGTAAAATCCTTTAATTTGTTTTTACTAGTAGAAAAAAATCAGAGAAAATAATGACTAATCAGTTTTATATTATCTGATAAAAGAGTCTCCAAATAATTTTAAGATAATAAATCATTATTAGTTTCAGGACAAATTTATATATTTGTAAATCATTGGGGAGATCATGATGTTGAGGAAGTAAAACACAGCAACAGAATACTTAGCACACCTTCATGAGAAAGTGATTGATTTAACCCTCCTTTTTCATTGCTAAGAACTGATGGCTTTGTAGGACAAAAGAAATCTTTCTTTTATTAAAGGTTTATGGCTGAGGTCCCTATAATAAAGGAGAGATTAGTAAGATAAAAGCATATAAATGTATTTAATACAAGTTTTTATATGACAAACAGCCTTCATAAGGAAATGAAGACCCAAAGAAATGGGTAAACTTGTGTATTTTTATGCTTAGGTTTGATAAAGAGTGGAAGATTGTGGAGAAATATGAAGGAAGGACCAAAGGAGGTGATCTAACGGTAATAAACTGGGAGAAATCTAGCAAGGTCTATTTATTCAGGTTCTTATCTGTGTCCCTGTGACTTCAGAGGTAGGATGTTCCTTCGTCTCAGTATAGGGAGGGCACTTCTGCAATGAAGGTCTTCTGACCTGCTTCAGGGGAGAAGGGTGGGAGAAGGCCAGAGAGTGACCTTCCAAAGTTTTATGACCTGCTTCAGTGGAAAAGAGTGAGAGGAAGATGAGAGTGACCTTCTTGCTTCTGCTATTTTCTCCAATGCCAAGGTGCTATATTTTTGGGTAATATGTCTTGAAACCCAGCCTAGCAGCTTCTTATCTTTTCCTGAACAGTTTAAAAAGCAAACAGGAAAGCTAAATCTGTTGTGGCATGTGTTGAATAATGAGACCAGGGACAAGTAAGTGAGTCTCTACTCTGGGGGTTCCCTGAATAAGGAGGATGAATAGAAAATCCTGGAAAGAACACACCTGAATAAGGAGGATGAATAGAAAATCCTGGAAAGAACATCCCCGAAAAAGGAAGATGAATAGAAAATCCTGGAAAGAACACCCCTCAATAAGGAGGATGAACAGAAAATCATGGACAGAACATCCTGAAAAAATAAGCAAACACATATCTTGGCAAGACTATTCCAAAGGTGTTGTGAACCAAATGGGCAGGTGAGCAGGGGCATGTGCTAGCAGTGGGCAAACATCAAAAGGCCGTTAATCTTGGGTCCACTTTCCTTGGTTATCCTCAGATGATGATTTGAGCTAACTCAGTTGCTCTGCTGCTTCAGGAGTACTTTTTTTTTTAGGCTACAAAATATAGCTCTCTATTTAATTCCAAATCATACTTTAGGAGAGCAAATTTGAAAAGCATTTTTGCAAGAGACAGGACAGGCGATACATAGTAAGTTCTATATAACAATTCATAAATTTCAAAGCTAAAAATGTGGAACAGGACACTGTAGGATTTTTCAGGTTCTGATAAATTATCTCAACCTTGTGTTTCAGAGCAAGATTTTTTCAAGTCTGGTCAAAAAATACTGGAAGCGGTACTTCTGAGATGTACCACTAAGTGTGCTTTATAAATACAGTGATTTTTATAAATTACAGTGGTTTAAAAATCCAGCTAATTTTGGATGCTTTTTCAGAGCAGTATAAACACTCAAAATATCTAACTGATATTTTTCCTTCCTAACAATGGATCCAATGGCAGACTGAATGAATATATCCTCAGATTTATTTTTCTTTTAAAAAGAATCTCATTATTCATACTTTATATATATATATGTGTGTGTGTGTGTATATACATATGTATATATACATATATAAAAACCAGTCACATTATATATAATATGTGTAATAATTATTTTATATATGTATGTATTCCTCCTAGGTATTGACTTCTGAACCTTAGCTAATTTGCAATGATGAATTACATTTTTCTTAGAAGTCAATAGGAATTCCTGAGCATAAATGCTAAATTTTCATGTTTTGCCCACAGCTATAAAATGTATAAAATGTAATTTAAAACTCAATTTTGTATGGCTTTATGTTGTGTCCTTAGAATAAGCGTAGATTTTTGAAAATTTCTATTATTATAAAACATAAAGAAAGTAGGTATATGGAATGATAGGTAATTCTGCAGAAGAGATTAACCAATAAATAAGGTGCCAACTTTTCCTTTCCAGGGATAATAGTGTTATTCACTCTTTGTTTAGTTAAAATGTTTTAAATAAATGTGTATCCCTATTGGAGTCCTGAAAGACCTGAGCTTAATTTGAGCCTATCCATCTAACACTTCATTACCTAATGTCCAGTTTTGCTATCAATTTATTCTGTTCCAGTGTTGCCTTCCTTGGAAAATCAGGAGCTTCCCGAGTATACGAAGTTGGTCTTACATTACTATTTTACTTTCATAGCACTTAACATTGAATCTTGGATATAGAATATGCTTAGTAGTTTTTCTGTGAGTTGGTGTAATTCCATCTTGAATTCTTCACAAAGTATTCTGTACAGTGAGTTGTATTTTCTATATTTTGAATATGACCCATGTTTTACACAAAGGGTCCACAAACTATAGCTTAAGCTTGGCTACCCCCTGGTTTTGTAAATAAACTGATTGGAGCACAGCCATACCCATTTATGTATGTGTTGTCTACAACTGCTTCTGTACTACTATGGCAGAGCTGAGCAGTTCCACCAAGCCGAAGTATTTACTATCTAGCACTTGTAGAATTACAGAATTGCTGACCCCTGTGCTAGATGCTTATCTTTGATGAAAAATATAAATACTTAGGGTCTGAATCATTTAGTTTTTTATCTTCCCTAAAAGTAAGTTAGATGATGATATTTCTGGAAGCTGAACATTTTAATGACAAATTTCCAGTAAGCATAAGTATCAAAAAGAAAAAAAAAATGGAGAATGTGTGCTGTTTCTTGCTACAACTACTGTATTTCTGGTTGAAGGTAGAACTCACCCCCAAAATGCAATTTGCTTTCTTTGCCAGGATAAACCTTCATTAAAGCCAAAATTCAGTTTAAATTAAAAGATTGAAACAGTCACATTATATTAGAGAAAATCTACAGCTACCTTAAAATAGCATTGAATGGGCTGGTTGTTGTAAGCTGCTCTCTGAGGCTGCCAGTCTACTAAAGTGTATTCATAAAACACACTAAGCTGGCCGAAATAGTGATTTTCTTAGTGATCTTAAGAACACAGTTATTTCATTGTTATGTTGATTTTACAAAAGAATGTTCATGGTGAAAAGATAAAGAGCATCCCCTTCTTTGGTACTTTAAGATAATGATTATTTTATAAAAAATTAACAAACCTCTTTGTTATCGTTTCAGATGGAAATAATGATGTGTAATTCATCTTTGCAGCTTAGCTAGGGTTCTATTTAATGTCATTTTTGGACCCAGGAGAAACACCATTAAGCAGTTAAAATAAGAAATTATTTTATTTGAATATTTTTAAAAGCAATAAATCAATTTGATGCTCAGTGGGTATCGACATATCAATATTTAGTTTCATTTTTAGACTACTTTTTGGTGTGTTTTATACCATAATGGTTGTCAGTAGGTGTTTAGATGAGGAAATATGCTTTTCTTGTATGATTGAGAAGACAAAAATGAATTTCTACTTATTGATTTACAGACATGGGTCTTGCTATGTTGCTCAGGTTGCAGTGCAGTGACTATTTACAAGTGCAGTCATTGCCCACTCAAACCTCAAACTCCTGGGCACAAGCAATCCTCCTGCCTTGGCCTCCTGAGCAACTGAGACTACCGGTACATGCCACCATACCTAGCTTAGGGTTTATCTTTATTATAATAGCTAACAATTAGATAATAGTGCTAAGGTTGGATAATTAAAGGATATATCAACATTTCATGATGCACTAAGAAAGAATAACTGTCACACGTTGGGCATTTATAATATGTTGGCATTGTACTAAGCACCTTCTATGGATTATTTCTGGTATAACAACACTTGGATATAGTGATTAATACCCCCATTCTACAGATGAAATTTAAAGATGCTAAGTAGTTTGCTAAAATTCATGCAACTAGCAAGTTACAGAGCTGGACCAGGTACCTCTGCCTGACCATATGGTGTTAGTTACTTATTTCCGTAGCTTTATGCAGGCGTAGAGTATGAGAGAATTCCTTCCTATTGTTAAATGGGTCTGGGAAGAGTCACATCCTGGGAGAAAGTAGTAGAATAGCAATACTAAGAGGAGAGTTGGTGGAGCAGGTGGTTATAGTACTTCGAGTTCTCATTCTAGCAGCTAACTTCTATTGAGAATCTTCTATTGTCTGCATATTTACATTTCACATTTATCTCATACATTGATTTTTTAATAATTATTTGAGGTGTGCACCATTATTTACCCCATTCTATAGATAAGGATCCTGAGAGCTTATCTAAAGAAGTTAAGTACCTCACACAAGGTCCAACAGCTATTATAATTGGCATAGACAGTATTAACACCGGCATCTTCCTGTTGCCAATTTTTTGGCATGTAACCATTATGTTCTGTGACTTCCTGAAATTCAAGAATGTAAATTAGAAATCTATAAAGACCATGTGCACGAGGTTTAAGTTGGGTGAGATTTCATGTAATCTCAGTAGCATATAGAATTTGGAGATTCATTTTTTAGGTAGACGTAGGAGAAGGGTTAGCTAAATTCTTCTTTGGTATATATGCAAGTAGGCAGAAAAAGATCATGATATTTTTGAAAAATATTTATATGAATACTTCAGTTGGTGGCATCATCTTTGTGTGCTAGCTTCATGGAAGAGTTATGATTATCACTCAGGCCAGCTTCTCATCCTTGACACTCAGGCTCACTGCTTAATTCAGAGAAAATTTTATCTTATAAGAGACTAAGAAATCTTTATCTTATTCATTAAAATATTTTATAAAGCACAGTATGTACTCATTATAAAATTTAGATCAAGGAAACAAATAAAATCACCAACACTTAAATTCCCAATTAACCAGTGATACCCAAGAATAACATCTTGTTCTTTATAGACATTTTCCTATGCATATTTTCCAAAGTGTGTGCATGCTTCTCTCTCTCTCTCAATTTCTCTCTCTCTCTCTCTCTCTCTCTCTGTGTGTGTGTGTGTGTGTGTGTGTGTGTGTTAAGATAAAATTTGACAATATTAACAGAGGCTTACTAGTGTTGTCTGCAGTCTTCTTCCTTTCAGCTATGCAACCAAGAATGGCCTTAATTGCCTCAAAAGAGATTTATTTGCCCTAGGGGAGGTATTACCAACTAGAATGTAGAAGAACAAAGAAGTTGGTTTACTGTAAGACAAGGTAATTTTTAATTTAAAAAAGTAGAATATTTGAGAGGAAGATACTTTTTAGTGAAAAAGTTAAATGTTGTATACCAAGGAAAAAGCCCATAATTTCTTCGTGTATTCCATACATAATAGAACTTAGAAGAAAGCCTGATAATTTAAGAACAATGTCCTGTTCCACAGGAGATGAAGGCATCAGCTGTAGGAAGAAGCAGAGATGATGATGGCTCCCTGAGTAGAGACCCAGCAACCCACCATTCAAGCTGAGTACTGTGGGGGAAGGTACCCAGAATGAAAGGGTTGGGGAGAGATCCCAAAATGACAGAGAAACCATTCTCTAGCTTTCCTTTGTGAAACTAGTGAAACCTGAAAGTCTTGCGCAGAATCTGAATCTCTGCATCCAATGTGGTAATTAGTAGCAATGGTTTAAGAGGTGTCTTATCAGTGGACCTGAAAGCTACAAGAGCCCTTTGCTCTTCCCCCTTGATGTGGGAGGGAGTCCAAGAGTATCATGTGTCTCCAAGAGGGATTTGGATATGGCTGGGATCCACAAGGCAATCCTGGGTAAGCCTCCTGCTAAGAAGGAGGCGGAAGGAGAATAGCCTACATAGACTTGGCACGTAAAAGCAAACAGTGATGAGGCAAGGAAATGTGATTACTGGAGTCTGGTGTAGATATTAGTGCATGTCAGTAGAAGCCAGCCTGGACAAATACCCTTCCACATGGCCCAGACACCTCCCTCTAATGCCAGGATGACATAGAAGAGCCCCAAGAACTTAGGTCAGTCATCGGAAGAAGAAAAGGTAAAGAGGGAATGTGGATTAGCAGGATGAGGAAAGGCTAGATTTTAGAATTCTCAAGTAATTGAATATGTACCCCTCAGTAAATGAATTTTAAGTTTGAAATAACTGAGTTTAACATGAATTGGCAAATTTAATTTTTCCACTAGAGAGGAAATAAGAAATTTAAAAATTTATATTTTCACATAATCTTAGCTTTTGACTCTGAAATTTGTAACTACTATGTAATCAATCTTACATGAAAGGAATCTTACATGAAAAGCTTTGTTCTTTTTTCTTTGTTTTAATCAAACAATATGTAGTAGCTATTTCTTTATGAGAGGACCTATAGATGTTCAACATCCTTCTTAATGAGTGTGCAGTACTCATTGTATATTTGTCTAAAAAGTCTCCAAGGTAGAACATTTGATTTGTTCGTATGCATCATTTACCCTTAATACAATTCCAAGAATTCTCCTTGCAGTTGCAAAGAGGGTAGTTTTTATAATTATTTAGTTAGACTATAATTTTCTACATTTGTTTTACTTTAAATAGGCTAAATTTTTATAGTTTGAGAAACCTTTCACAGATTGAATGTTATGACTAGAACTTTTCTTATTGTTTAACCATAATATCTGAATATTTTTCATGTATTTTATTTTAGTAGATATTCATTTTAGCAGATGCCAAATAGGTTCACCTATGTTATTTTCCCCATAGTTCCCTATTTTCTAAAACAAAACATAATGAGAAATGGAATTCTGCTGTGTAACTCTGTTATAAGCCCTCAAAGAAAAATTCTTATTCCTTTAATTTATATTATCTTATTTTAGTATTGTTATTATATTAGTTAGTACAAATAAGACTTACCTAGAATTTAAAACATGTAAGGAAAACAAGAAATGTTTTATACATGATATGAACAGAGTATGATTGTGCTAACTTAGAGAAAAGAGGCTGCAGTGCTTGTACAGATAATTCACATATTAAAGTTTGGCAGATTTCATAAAATAGGAACATGGTATATATTATTACATATAATATATTTTACTTTATATGAATCTCAATGTTATATAATATGTAATGTTATATACTATTACTTTTTAATTTTATTTTTAATTGACATATAATAATTATATATATTTATGAGACACAATGTGATGTTTAGATATAATTAATTTCTTTGTGGTAAGAACATTGAAGATCTCTTTTAGGTATTTTGAAATATACAATACATTCATATTAACAATAGTCACCTTGCCAAGCAATATAACACCAGAACTTATTTCATCTATTTAATTATAACTTTGTACCCGTTGATCAACATCTTGCTTTCCCTATTTACCCACCCCCTAGCCTCTGGGTAACCACTACTCTATTCTCTACTTTTATCAGTTTTTAGATTTTACATATAACTGAGACCATATATTTGTCTCTCTGTGCCTGGCTTATTTTACTTAACATAATATCCTCTAGTTTCATCCACTTTGTCAAAATGACAGAATTTCCTATTTTGTTAAGGCTGAATAATATTTCATTGTGTATATATACCAAATATTTTAAATTCATTTATCCATTGATGGACATAGCTTGTTTCCATATCTCAGCTATTGTGAATAATGAGGCAATGAACATGGCAATGAAGATGTCTCCTTTGGCATACTGATTTTAATTCTTTTGGGTTATACCCAGTAGTGGGATTAGTGAATTATATGATAATTCTTTTTTTTTGAGGAGCCTCCATACTGTTTTCTAAAGTGGCTGTGCTAATTTACAGTGCCACCAACAGTATATGAATTTCCTTTCCTCCATATTCTTGCCAACACTTATCTTTCATCTTTCTGATTATGGCCAATTTAACAGGTGTAAGGTGATGCTCATTGTGGTTTTAATTTGCGTTTCTCAGGTGATTAAAGATGTTGAGCGCTTAAAAATATATCTGTTGGCCATTTCTGTGTCTTCTGTGAGAAACATCTATTCAAGTCCTTTGCCCATTTTAAAATAAGGTTATTTATTTTCTTGTTATTCAATAGTTTGAGTTCCTTGTATATTTTAGATATTAGCCCCTTATCCAGTGTATTACTTGCAAATATTTTCTCTCCATCTGTGTCTTGTCTTTTCATGCTACTGTTTTCCTTACTATGCAGAAGCTTTTGAGTTTGATGCAATCCCATTTGTCTACTTTTGCTTTGGTTTCCTGTGCTTTTGGGTTCATATCTAAGAAATCTCTCCCCAGATTAATGTCATGAGACTTTTCCCACTATGTTTCTGTCCAGTAGTTTTGTAGTTTCAGATCTTATGTTTAAGTCTTTAATTCATTTTGAACAGATTCTTGTTTAAGGACTGAGATAAGGTTCATTTTCATTGTTTTGTTTATGGATATCCAGTTTTCCCAATATCATTTATTGATGAGACTGTTCTCTCCCTATTGTGTGTTCTTGGTAGCTTTGTTGAAAATCAATTGACAATAGATGTATGAGTTTATTTCTAGACATTATATCTCATTCCACTGACTGATATATGTTTTTATGCCAGTACCATGTGTATTTATTATTATAGCTTTGTAATATATTTTGAAATCCAGTAGTGTGATGCCTCCAGCCTTGTTCTTTTTAGTCAAGATGACTTTGAATATTTGGGGTCTTTTGTGGTTCCATAGGAAGTTTAGAATTAAAAATTTCTGTAAAGAATGCTATTAGAATTTTGATAAGGATTGCATGGAAGCTGTAGGTTGCTTTGGGAAGTATGAACATTTTAACAATATTAATTCTTCCAATCCATGAACATAAAATATCTTTGCATGTATTTGTGTCCTCTTCAATTTCTCTCATTGCTGTTTTATAATTTTCAGTACACAGATCTTTCTTCTCTTTGGTTAAATTTACTCCTAAGTATTTTTATGCTCTTGTAAATGAGGTTGTTTTCTTAATTTCTTTTTAAGACAGCTTGTTGTTAGTATGTAGAAATGCCACTATTTTTTGTAAGTTGATTTTGTATCCTGCAACATTACTGTGTTCCTTTATTAGTTCTAACTGTTTTTTGGTTGAATCTTTTGGATTTTCAATATATAAGGTCATATTGTCAGCAACAGTAATAATTTCACTTCTTCATTTCCTATTTGGATGCCTTTTGTTTGTTTCTCTTACCTAATTGCTCTGGCTGGCACCTCCAGTACTGTGATGAACAGAAGTGGTGAACATGGGCATCCTTGTCATGTTCCTGATCTTAGAAAAAAAGCCATTAACTTTTCATCATTGAGTATAATGTTAGTTGTGGACTTGTCATATATGACCTTAATTGTGTTGAGGAACTTTCTTTTATACCAAATTTGTTGAGAAAGTTTATTATAATATGATGTTAAATTAAAAAAATGCTTTTCCTTCACCTATTGAGATGATCATATTGTTTTTGTCCATTCTATTAATATGGTGAAACACATTTATTGATTTGCATATGTTGAAGCAACCTTGCATTCCAGGGATAAATCCCACTTGATCATGATAAATGATCCTTTTATGATACTGTTGAATACAGTTTGCTAGTATTTTGTCGAGGATTTTTGCTTCTATGTTCTTCAGTGATACTGACCTGTGACTTTCTTTTCCTGTAATGTCTTTGTCTAGCTTTGGTATTAGGGTAATTTTGGCCTTGTAAGATGAGGTTGGAATTATCTCCTCATCTTTAATATTTCAGAGCAGTTCGAGAAGGATTAGTATTGTTTTTTCTTTAAATGTTGGCTAGAATTCAGCTGTGAAGCCATCACATTCTAAGCTTTTCTTTGATCAGAGACTTTTAATTACCAGTTTAATTTCCTCACTTTTTATTGGTCTGTTCAGATCTCCAATTTCTTCTTCATTTGGTCTTAATAGGCTATATGTTTTTAGGAATTTATCCATTTCTCTGAGTTGTCCAATTTGTTAGTTTATAATTGTTCATAATAATTTCAAATGATTCTTTATATTTCTGTGATGTCAGTTATAATGTCTCCTCTTTCATTTCTCATTATATGTATTTGAATCTTCTCTCTTTTTTCTTAGTCTAGCTAAAGGTTTTTCAATTTAGTTTATCTTTTCAAAAGATAAACTCTTAGTTTTATTAATCTTTTGTATTGTTTTACCAGTCACTATTACATTTACTTATGTTCTGATCCTTGGGGCCTAGTTTGTTTCCATTTTTCCTTGATGAATAACATTAGGTTTTTTATTAAATATCTTCTTTTTTTTTGATGTAGGTGTTTATTGCTATAAATTTGCCTCTTAGCAGTGCTTTCACTGCATCTCATAAGTTTTGGTATGTTATATTTCCATTTTCATTTGTCTAAGATATTTTTAAATTTTCCTTTAATTATTTCTTCTTTGAACCAACAGTTGTTCAGGAGACTATTGTTTAATATTCACGTTTATTGTTTATTCATCAGTTCCCCTCTTATTGATTTCTAGTTTTATACTACTATTGTCAGAAAAAAAATACTTGAAATGATTGCAATATAAAATTTGTTCAGACTTGTTTTGTGGCTTCACATATGATCTAACCTGGAGAATGTTCTGTGTGTACTTGAGAAGAATGTGAATTCTGTTGCTGTTGGGTAGAATGTTCTGTATATGTCCATTAGGTCCATTTGATCTAAAATGTAGTTTAATTCAAATGGGTGCTTATTGATTTTTTGCCTGGATGATCTTTTCAATGTTGAAAGCAAGGTACTAGCATACTCTACTATTACTGTGTTACAGTATGTATCTTCCTTCAGATCTCTTAATGTTTGCTTTATATTTAGGTGATTTGATGCTTGGCACATATATATATTTATATATAATATAATATAATATATAATTTATATATAAAATATAATATATATTATATATAAATATATATATTTACAATTCTTATATCTTCTTGATGGATTGACCCATTTATCACTGTTTAATAATCTTTGTCTCTTTTTACACTTTTGTCCTAAAATCTATTTTGTCTCAATTAAGTATAGTTACCTTTGCACTCTTGCTCTCTTTTTGTTTCCATTTCATGAAATGCCTTTTTCAATCCTTTCTCTTTCAATCTATGAGAATTCTTAAGGTGATGTGAGTCTCTTTTAAGAGCATATAGAGTCATGCATTGGAGATACTGAGGATTTTGATCAGACCATTGCAATAAGGTGAATGTTGCAATAAAGTAAGTCACAAAATATTTTTGTTTCCCAGTACATATCAAAATTATGTTTATACTATACTGCAGTGTAGTAAGTGTGCAATAGCACTATGTGTAAAAAAGTACATATATTAACTAAAAATACTTTATTGCTAAAAATTGCTAACAATGACCTGAGCCTTCAGTGAGTCATAATCGTTTCACTGGTGGAGAGTGATGCCTCAATATTGATGACAGCTGACTGATCAGGTTGGTGGTTGCTGAAGGTTAGGGTGGCCATAGCAATTTCTTAAAGTAAGACAACAATAAAATTTGCTGCATGGATTTACTCTTCTCTTCACAAAAAATTTTCCTGTAATGTGCAATGCTGTTTGATAGTATTTTACCCACCATAGAACTTTTTGCAAAATTGGAGTCAATTCTCCCAAACTCTGCCACTGCTTTATCAACGAAGTTGATGTACATTCTAAATCATTTGTTTTCATTTTGACAATGTTAACAGCATCTTAACAAAGAGTAGATTTCATGAAGAAACCACATTCTTTGCTCATACATAAGAAGCAGTTTCTAATCTGTTCAAGTTTTATCATGATACTGCAGCAATTTATTTACATATTCAGTCTTCACTGCTAATTCTAGTTCTCTTGCTATTTCCACAACTCATGCAGTTACTTCCTCCACTGGAGTCTGGAACCCCTCAAAGTCATTCAGTGATGTTTGGAAATTTTTTCCAAACCTTTTCCCAAATTCTGTTAATGTTGATATTTCACCCTTCTTCCATTAATCAAGAATATTTTTAATGACATATAGAATGGTGAATCTTTTTCCAGAAAACTTTCAATTTACTTTACTTGCATCCATCAGGGCAGTTACTATCTATGGCAGCTATAGTCTTATAAGCTGTATTTCTTAAATAACAAGACTTGAAGGTCAAAATAATAAGGCTTGAAAGTTAGGCTTGATAGAAGTCTTCTGTCTTGATTCACAGGCAACAGAATGGATGTTGTGTTAGGAGACATGAAAACAACATTAATATCCTTATACATCTCCATCTGGGTGACCAGGTGCATTGTCAATGAGCAGTAATATTTTAAATGAAATAGTTTTCACCTTGAGCAGGTCTCAAGAATGTGCTTAAAGTATTTAGTAAACCATGCTATAAATAAAAGTGCTGTCATCTAGGCTTGGTTCTTCCATTTCTGGAGGACTGACAGAGTAGATTTGGCATAATTCTTAAGGGCCTTAGGATTTTTGGAATGGTCAGTGAACATCGGCTTTAATTTAAAGTCACCAGCTGCAATAGCTCCTCACAAGAGAGTCAGCCTGTCCTTTGAAACTGTGAAAACAGGCTGACTTCTCTTCTCTAACTATAAAAATCCTATATGTCATTTTCTTCCAATATAAGGCTGTTTATCTACCTAGACCTTGAAAATTTGTTGTTTAGTGTAGTCACCTTTATCAATGACATTAACTAGATTTTGTGGATAACTTGCTGCAGCTTCTATATCAGCACTTGCTGCTTCACCTTGCACTTTTATGTTATGGACATGGCTTCTTTCCATAAACCTCATGAACCAGCCTCTGCTAGTTTCAAACTTTTTCTTGCATCTTCCTCACCTCTCTCAGCCTTCATGTAATTAAATAGAGTTAAAGCCTTGCTCTAGATTAAGCTTTGGTTTAAAAGAATGTTGTGACTGGTTTGATCTTCCATATACACTACTATAATTTTCTTCATATCAGCAAAAAGACTGTTTTGCTTTCTTATCATTAATGTGTTCACTCACATAGCATTTTTAATTTTCTTCAAAAACTTTTTATTTCCTTTCACAACTTGGCTATCCATTTGGTGTGAGGGGCCTGGCTTTGGCCTGTCTTGGCTTTTGATATGCTATCTTTAGTAAGGTTATTTCTAGCTTTTGATTTAAAGTGAGAGATGTGTGACTCTTCACTTGAGCACCTAGAGGTTATTATAGAGTTTTTATTTGCCTTAATCTCAATATTGTTGTGTCTCAGGGAATAGGGAAGTCCCAGGAGGGGGAGGGGCAGGTCATGGCCAGTTAGTGGAGCAGTCAGAATACACACCACACTTATCGATTAAGTTTACTATCTTGTATGGTCATGGTTTGTGGCACCTCAAAACAATTACAATAGTAACATCAAAATCACTGATCAGAGATCACCATAACAGATATAATAAAATGAAAAGTTTGAAATATAGCAAACATTACGAAATATGACAGAGACATGAAGTGAGCAAATGCTGTTGGAATATTGGTATTAATAGACTTATTTGATGCAGGGTTGCCACAAACATTCAATTAAAAAAAATAGAACCCCCAAAACTTACAATGTATTAGAAGCAAAATAAAGTGATATGCAATAAAATGAGGTAAGATTTTAGCTGGGTGTTGGTTTTGTGTGTGTGTGTGTGTGTGTGTGTGTGTGTGACAGAGTTTCGCTCTTGTTGCCCAGGCTGGAGTGCAATGGTGCGATCTCAGCTCACTGCACCCTCCACCTCCTGGGTTCAAGTGATTCTCCTGCCTCAGCCTCCCTAGTAGCTGGGATCATGGGCTTGTGCCACCATGCCTGGCTAATTTTGTATTTTTCGTAGAGACAGGGTTTCTCCATGTTGGTCAGGCTGGTCTCGAACTCCTGACCTCAGGTGATCTGCCTGCCTCGGCCTCCTAAAATGCTGGGATTACTGGGGTGAGCCACTGTGCCCAGCCGGGTCTTGTTTTTTATCCATTCAGACACTCTGCCTTTTTGTTAGCAAATGTAATCCATTTACATTTAAAGTAATTACTGATAAGCATGGACTTATTAGTGCTTGTTATTTATTTTGGTCATTGTGTAAATCCATTCTGTCTTCCTTTCTTTGTGGTTTGATGGCTTTCCATCGTGATAGACTTTGGATTTTTATTTTTAAAGAAAAATTAAATTTTTTTTATATTTTCATTTTCTAAAAACATTTTATTTATTTATTTTTAATTTTACTTAAAGTTCTGGGATACATGTGCAGAATGTGCAGGTTTGTTACATAGGTATACATGTGCCGTGGTGATTTGCTGCACCTATGGACCCGTCATCTAGGTTTTAAGCTCCGCATTCATTAGGTATTTGTCCTAAATCTCTCCCTCCCCTTGCTCTGCACCCCACAACAGGACCCAGTGTGTGTTGTTCCCCTCCCTGTGTCCAGGTGTTCTCATTGTTCAATTCCCACTTATGAGTGAGAACATGCGATGTTTGGTTTTCTGTTCCTGTGTTTGCTAAGGATGATAGCTTCTAGCTTCATCCATGTCCCGGCAAAGGACATTATCTCATTCTTTTTTATGGCTTCATAGTATTCCATTGTGTATATGTGCCACATTTTATTTATCCAGTCTATCATTGATGGCCATTTGGCTTGGTTGTAATCTATCACATAATCAGAACCAATGATAAAAACCACATGATTATCTCAATAGATGGAGAAAAGACCTTCGATAAAATTCAACAGCCCCTTATGTTAAAAACTCTCAATAAAGTACATATTGATGGAACATATCTCAAAATAATAAGAGCTATTTATGACAGACCCATAGCCAATATCATACTGAATAGGCAAAAGCTGGAAGCATTCCCTTTGAAAACTGGCACAAGACAAGGATGCCCTCTCTCACCACTCCTATTCAACATAATATTGGAAGTTCCTGCCAGGGCAATCAGGCAAGAGAAAGAAATAAAGTGTAGTCAAATAGGAAGAGAGGAAGTCAAATTGTATCCTGTTGCAGACAACATGATTCTATATTTAGAAAACCCCATTTTCTCAGCCCAAAAACTCCTTAAGCGATAAGCAACTTCAGCAAATTCTCAGGATACAAAATCAATGTGCAAAAATCACAAGCATTTCTATACACCATCAATAGACAAGCAGAGAGCCAAATCATAAATGAACTCCCATTCACAATTGCTGCAAAGAGAATAAAATACGTAGGAATACAGCTTACAAGAGATGTGAAGGACCTCTTCAAGGAGAACTACAAACCACTGCTCAAGGAAATAAGAGAGGACCCAAACAAATGAACAAATATTCCACGCTCATGTATAGGAAGAATCAGTATCGTGAAAATGGCCATATTGCCCAGACTAATTTATAGATTCAGTGCTATTCCCATCAAACTACCATTGATATTCTTCACAGAATTAGAAAAAAAAACTACTTTAAATTTCATATGGAACCAAAAACAGCCCATAGAGCCAAGACAATCCTAAGTAAAAAGAAAAAAGCTGGACACATCATGCTACCCAAAGGCAAACTATGATACTGGTACAAAACAGACATATAGACCAATGAACAGAGACTTCAGAAATAACACCACACCTCTACAACCATCTGATTTTTGAACAATCTGACAAAAAGAAGCAATGGGAAAAGGATTCCCTGTTCAATAAATGGTGCTAGGAAAACTGGCTAGTCATATGGAGAAAACTGAAACTGGACCCCTTCCTTACACCTTATACAAAAATTAAATCAAGATGGATTAAAAACTTAAATGTAAAACCCAAAACCATAAAAACCCTAGAAGAAAACCTAGGCAATACCATTCAAGACATAGGCATGAGCAAAGATTTAATGATGAAAACACCAAAAGCAATTGCAACAAAAGCCAAAATTGACAAATGGGATCTAATTAAACTAGAGAGCTTCTGCACAGCAGAAGAAACTATCATCAGAGTGAACAGGCAACCTACAGAATGGGAGAAAATTTTTGCAGTCTATCCATCTGACAAAGGGCTAATATCCAGAATCTATAAGGTACTTAAAAAATTTACGAGAAAAAAAAAGCAACCCCATCAAAAAGTGGGCGAAGGGTATGAACAGCCACTTGTCAAAAAAAGACATTCATGTGGCCAAGAAACATGAAAAAAAGTTCATAATCTCTGATCATTAGAGAAATGCAAATGAAAACCACAATGATATGCCATCTCATGCCAGTCAGAATGGTGATTATTAAAAAGTCAGGAAACAACAGATGCTGGTGAGGCTGTGGAGAAACAGGAACACTTTTATACTGTTGGTGGGAATGTAAATTAGTTCTACCATTGTGGAAGACAGTGTAGCAATTCCTTGAGGATCTAGAACCAGAAATACCATTTGACCCAGCAATACCAGTACTGGGTATATACCCAAAGGAATATAAATCATTCTACTACAGAGACACATGCACACATATATTTATTGCAGCACAATTTACAATAGACTTTGGATTTTTTAAAAAATATTTTGTTTTTATTATAGGCTTTTTATTTGTGGTTACCCCGAGGCTTACATAGAACATCTTACATGTATAATAGGCTATTTCCAGTTGATAACAAAAAATTTTTATCACATATACAAACTTTACACTTTTATTTCCCCTCCTGCCACATTTTATATTTTTGATTTCATACTTTATATCTTTTTATAATTTGTATCTCTTAATTTATTTTGGCCTTGGATGTTTTTAATTATTTTCACTTTTGACCTTTATCCTAGAAGTACAATTTATTTAGCCACTGTCATTACAATATTAGAGTGTTTCAGATTTGACAATGTATTTACTTTTACCAGTGCGTTTTATATTATACTTTTGTATATTTTCATTTTACTAATTATCATCCTCTTTCTCAGCTTGAAGAACCCCTTTAATCATTTTTTTTGTAAGGCAGGTCTAGTAGTGATAAATTCTGTCAACTTTTGTTTGTCTGAAAATGTTTTGATCACCCCTTTGTAAAAGACAGTACTGTTAGGTATAGTATTCTTGGTTGGCAGGTCTTTTTGTTTCCTTTTAAAATTTTGAATATATCATCCTACACCCTTCTGACTTGTAGTGTTTCTGCTGAGAGAGCCATTGATAATTTTATGGAGTTCAACACTCTCTCTTTGACTTTACCTTTTCATAATTTGATGATGTGTCTTGGTGTGAGTATTTTTGAATTTATCTTATTTGAGGTACTTTGAACTTCCTACTTTTGGCTTTCTGTTTTATTCCCCAGACTTGAGAAGTCTTTTGTCATTATTTCTTTGAATATGGTTTCTGTTCCTTTTTGCTCTCTCTTCTTCTGGCACATTAGTATTGCATGAGTTGTTCCTGTTGATGGCATTTTATGATTCTTAAGCTATCTTCACTCTTTTTCAATCTTTTTTCTTTTTGCTCTTCAGATTGGGTGATATCCTGTGAGCTGCCTTTCAGTTCACTCATTCTTTCTTCTGCTTGATCTAGCCTGCTCTTGAACACCTCTATTGAATTTTTCAGTTCAGTTATAGTATTCTTCAGATCTATGATTTATGTTTGATACTTTTTAATACTTTCTATCCCTTGTTGAAATTGTCACTTTATTCTTACATTACTCTCTTGACCTTGGTGAGCATTTTTATGACTGTTATGTTGAATTCCCTGTTGTGTAAATCACATGTCTCCACTTCACATAGGTCTGTTTTGGAAATTGATCTTGTTCTTTTGTTTTGAATATATTTTCTTCTTTCTTCATTGTTCTTGTCTCTCTGTATTGTTTTCTGTGCAGTAGAAATGATGACTACATCTACCAGACTTGTCAGACTGGCCTCATGTAGGAGAAGGATCTCACCACTCTATCTGACCAAAGATTTTAAGCTGCCTTTTACACTGGGTTTGTCCAGACTTGCTTATTTGTTTTTGGCAGCCCCCAAAGCTTAGGAGGTGTCACATCCTCTCAGTACCCTTAGACTGAAAATATAGGAGCCAGACACTCTAGATATAGCTGAAAAAGTAGAAGTGTTGGCTGTATGTTTTTGTTTCTTCTCTCCTCATCATGAAGCTGAGCATGGGTATATTTTCCACTCTCTCCTGTACGTACATTCAGTAGATGTACTATACATATATTCAGGCTGCAATTTCTGGTCCTGAGGAGGTAGTTGCTGGAAAGGGACTCATTGTGCATCTACCTCTTTGTTTTCTGTGGTCTAGGTCATTCAGAAATGCAAAACCCCATTGACTCCCAGAGGTACTTTGTTAAGGAGACAGTCCCTTGGGTGGGAGCTATAGAAGTTGTGGCACTCAGTGCATGACCAAACTCCTTCCAGGAAAAAATGGGTAGGCTTGGATTTATCACTAGGGTGAGCTGGAGAGGAGGCTCATGAAGTGCCCTACTCTGGCTGCCGAAGTATTATTGTTTGTCTGCACAACTAACTTCCTGATGTAAGTTTGTTAGAAGCCAAGCTGTCAAGTAGCCACTGGAAGTGTGTGCTGTAAGCTTCTTTTGGAGAGAAAATGGGAGCTGCATGACACCCCTTCATGTTTCTGGACTGCTCCAAGGGCTTGTAGTGGCTGAAAATATTTTCGCTCCTTGAAGACCACCTCTTTGTTTTGTGATCTATGGAGGCTTACATGTGCCTAGTCCTTTCTGCTCTGAGAACCAGGTGGTTTAGGATTGAGTCTTTGAAGAGGTAGCTGTAAATGTTGGGACACTCAATATGTGGCATAAATTTCTTCCAGGGAAAAACAGAGAGCTGCATTTTTTTTTTGAAGCCCATTTTCTGGACTGCTCCCAGGAGTTGAAGCCCCTGGAAGTGCTTGCATGCCTATATAAAACTTCTATTTAGGCTGGGCATGGTAACACATGCCTGTAATCCCAGCACTTTGGGAGGCTGAGGCGGGTAGATCACAAGGTCAGGAGTTCGAGACTAGCCTGGCCAATATGGTGAAACTTCATCTCTACTAAAAATATAAAAATTAGCTGGATACACACCTGTAGTCCCAGCTACTCAGGAGGCTGAGGCAGAAGAATCGCTTGAACCTGGGAGGCGGAGGTTGCAGTGAGCCGAGATTGCACCACTCTACTTCAGCCTGGGTGACAGAGCAAGACTTTGTCTCAAAAAACAAACAAACAAACAAACAAAAAAACCAAACTTGTACTTTATTCTGTGGTCTATAAAGATTTGCATATACTTTGTCCCCACTGCTCCCAGAGCTGTGAGGTTTAGGATGCAGTCCTTTGAGTGGAAGTGGGAAAAGTTGGAGTGCTTGATGTGTGGACAAATGCCTTCCAGGAGTTTAATGGACTTGGCATTATCCCTTGGGTGAGTCATGAGAGGATGCTCCAGGAGTGCTGGTTTGCTTCTCAGGGTGCTGGCTGGGTTAACATTTGTCTTCCCCTTTAACTCCCTGGCACAAGTTAGTAGGAAACCAGGCTACCAAGTAGCCATGGAAGAGCATATTATAAACCCCTCCTGGAAAGGCCCCTCCTTTGCACTGCAACCAGGAGATGAAGCTCCTTATAGCACTTAGTCACTTATATCAAATTGCCACTTTTTTTTTTCCTGTGATCTATAGAGTCTTGCATATGTCTAATCCCCTCTCTTTCCACATTTGGTGAAGTAACAGCCAAATTATGAGGAACCTTACAGTTAGGAACCTTAGAGTTAGGGCACTATCTATCAGGCCCAAGCCCTCTTCTTCACAGAGAGAACCTGGGTGTTGGGAATTCCTTTCTCAATTGTATGTTGCGGTGCCAAGGACAGGGTCCATGCCTGTGTGTGCCTCAGATATTCCTAACCATTTGATGTGGATGTTGTCTCAGTTGCCTTGTAGGCAGGAGTCTCTCAGCTAGTCTTTGACTTTCTCTTAGAGGGAATTTATCTGTGAATAGATGCTTATTTGCTGAATTTGTGGGTGTAAAGTCAGGAGCTTTCTATTCTGTCATGTTGCTGATGTCATCTCCATTTTTTTTAATGTGAAGCTTAACATTTCAAAATACCTTCTTTTTTCTTCAAGCAAGGAATTAAGATTCAGTTGGTTAATAGATAATCAGGCATGCTTTCTTATATCTTTGGAAAAAAGTTGCTTTTGAAATAAATCTTTAATTCTTCTCAGAGACTTTAGAAGAATATTTTAAGAAGTTTGGTATAGGTAATCTGATCCCTGATTATATTTTACTATTGTCTTGTGGCAGCTACCAATCTTCTATTTTCTTAGCCACTAAAACACTGGGAGGCCCAGTTTGACCTCTTACTTTTGCAAAGCTAAGCATCATGTTAAGAATAACTTTCAGTTATCAAAGTAGAAGGGACAGCATGAGGTAAGAAAGGTAAGAGTGACAGCGTGAGGGAAACACAGAGGAAAAAGGAACCTTGAAAAAATATTGACCTTATAGGCGTGTGAATCATTCTAGGTTAGTTAAAAAGAAATAACGTTTTCTACAAGTGTTCAGAGACCATGAAATGTGGGTTAGTAAGAGGGGCAGAAAAGAGGAATTCTGTGTAGAGGGAATGGTGCCAACAAATACAAATGTATGGAAGTACAGGAAGTGTAGAAGGAAGAGTCTGCTCTGAGAGGAGTGTTGAGTGCTTGAGGAGGAGTAGCAGGAGCTAAGGCTGAGAAGAAGCTGGAATCTGAGTGAGGATAGTCTTGAATTACAGATGAATGAGTGTAAACCTGCACTCTTCAATATGGTAGCTACTAGTAACAATAAGATATGCTGAGAGTGTAAATACCATATTTTGAAGATTTAGTGTGAAAAAATGTAAAATATCTTTTTTTGTATAAATGACATGTTAAAAATAATATTGGGATGCAGTTAAATAAAATGTGTTAACTATATATTATTTCATAGGTATTATTAAGACAAAGTTCCCTTGTTTCTCTTTTGTTTTTTTTTAATGTGGCTACTAAAAAATTTAAAATTACACATGTGGCTCTCATTGTAGTTATATTAAACGGTGCCAGTCTAGACTTTACCTGAAAACAATAGCTGTTTTGGAGGTAGAGGAGATGGTGGTGAAGGTTTGGAAATACTATGTTTTGGATAACATTGACTCAGCAACACTGAAAGGTAGAGTAGGGAGTAGAATGTGTAAAATTGGAACTTGGAGAACAGAAACTAGAGACATATAGCTCACAGAGGTACCCACATAGAAATGCTTATGAAGCTGAACTGTGAAGGAATAAATGTGAATGGCATCTTTCAGGGAGGAACTGTGTGCAGAGGAGAGCTAAGAGAGCTAGAAGTAGATGACCAACTTCAGCTATGTTAGGATGAGGATAACTTTTACCTTTAAATTTTAAAAGACTTTGAGGTAGAATTTCTAGAAAAGGAATTGGCAGAAAGGAGACAAAACAAGTCACCACCAATGACTCTTTGCCTTATTGAATGAATGCTTCCTTGCTGTGGAGCAATTACAAGGGTGAATGCAGAATGCTGAGTGGCCCAGTACCTTCCTTCCTTCATATGTGCTGCTATGATCTGAATGCCCACCCTAAATTAATATGTTAAAATCTTCACCCCCAAGGTAATGGGGAGGTGGGACCTTTCCAAGGTGATTAGGTCATAAAGACAGAACCCTCATGAATGGAATTAGTGCTCTTATAAAAGGGACCAAAGGGAGCTGCCCACCTATTCTTCCACATGAGGACACAGTGAGAAGGAACTGCCTATGAGGAAGCAGGTCCTCTCCAGACACCAAATTCTGCTGATGCTTTGATCTTGGAATTCCTACTCTCCAGAACTGTAAGAAATAGCTTTCTGTTGTTTATAAACCACCCAGTGTATGGTATTTTGTTATAGTAGCCCCAATGAACTGACATGTGCACGTTGTAAAGAATTTAATGCATAGGTAATAAATGAAAGACACCTTGGTAGCTGGAAGATTAGAGACAAAAAGTGTAAAATAACTCAATTAGAAGGTACAAACTTGAAGGGATTCTCTATGGCCTGCCATGCTTAAATGTTCTTCATGTGGCAGTAATATGAGGTATTTTAAAAAGTGAATTAGTTGCTGTCATAATTGCCCCTTTTCTCAAAATGGAGGCAATTCTGGGATGCAAATTAAATCCTGACAAGCTGTGAAATCTCTACCTCAAGGGTAAATTTGCTAGGAATGGCATTTTTTTTATTCATTCATTAGTGGGCTGACTCAGGTTGATTCCTTAACTTTGCTACTGTGCATAGTGCTGCAATGAATATGAGAATGCAGAAATTTCTTTAACAAACTGATTTCAAATCCTTTGGGTAAACAACTAGGATTGCTGGATCATATGTTAATTCTATTTTTTCTCTTTCAATTATGATTTTATTAGACACTTTTTCTTCTTTCCTTAGTGTAGCTAAATGTTTGTCAATTTTGTTTACTTTTTAAAAAAGAAAAAACTACAGGCCAATAACCCTGGTAAACATAGATGCAAAACTCCTGAACAATGTACTAGCAAACTGAATGCAGAAGCACATCAAAAGGTTAATTCACCATGATCAAGTTGGCTTTATTCCTAGGATGCAGGTTGGTTCAGCATACACAAATCAATAAATGTGATTCACCACATAAACAGGATTAAAAACAGAAATCATGTGATCATCTCAATAGATGGTAGAAAAACTTTAGATAAAATCCAATGTCCTTTCATGATAAAAAACCCTCAAGAAACTACGCATTGAAAGAACATACCCCAAAATAATAAGAGCCATCTATTACAAACCCACAGACAACATCATACTGAATGAGAAAAAGCTGGAAGTATTCCCCTTGAGAACTGGAACAAGACAAGGATGCCAACTCTCAGCACTCCTATTCAGCATAGAATGGGTAATCCTAGCCAAAGCAATCAGGCAAGAGAAATAAATAAAAGGCATTCAAATAACAAAAGAAGAAATTGAACTACTTCTCTTTGCAAATAATTTGATCTTATAGCTAGGCAACACTAAATACACCACCAAAAAGCTCCTGAAACTGATAAGTAACTTCTGTAAAGTTTCAGGATAATCAATGTACAAAAATCAGTAGCATTTCTATACACAAATATTGTTCACGCTGACAGCCCAATCAAGAATGCAATTTCATTTACAGTAGCCACACATGAAAAATACCTAGGAACACATCTAACCAAAGAGGTAACAGATCTCTACATAGAGAACTACCAAACACTGCTAAAAGAAATCACAGAAAACACAAACACATTGAAAAACCTTCCATGTCTTTGGATAGGAATAATCAATATTGTTAAGATGGCCATACTGTCAAAAGCAATCTACAGATTCAGTACTATTCCTATCCAGTTACTAATGCCATTTCTCACAGAATTAGAAAAGACTATTCTAAACCTCATATAGAATGAAAAGAAAAGCCCAAAATAGCCAAAGCCATCCTGAGCAAAAAGAAGAAAGCCTGAGGCATCACATTACCTGACTTCTAACCACATTACAAGTCTACAGTAACCAAAACAGTACGGTACTCATGTAAAAACAGACTTGTAGATCAATGGAACAGAAAAGAGAATGCAGAACTAAAGCTACACACCTACAGTCATCTGATCTTTGACAAAATCAACAAAAAATAAGCAAGAGCAAAGTTATCCCTATTCAGCAAATGGTGCTGGGATAACTGGTTATCCATATGCCGAAGAATCAAATTGGATCCTTACCTATTACTATAATAAAAGTTAACTAAAATAGACTAAATACTTAAATTTAAGACCCCAAATTATAAAAGTCAAAGAAGAAAACCTAGAAAATGCCCTTCTTGACATCAGCCTTTACAAAGAATTGATGGCTATGTCCTTATAAGCAATTGTAATAAAAACAAAAATTGACAAGTGGGAACTACTTAAACTAAAGAGAGTCTGCATAGCAAAAGAAATGATCAACATAGTAAACAGACAACCTACAGATTGGGAGAAAATATTCACAAACTATGAATCTGACAAATTTCTAGTCTCCAGAATCTACAAAGAACTCAAAGAAATCAACAAGCAGGAACCAAGTAACCCGGTTAAAAAGTGGGCAAAGTACATGAACAAACACTTCTCAAAAGAATACCTACAAGCAGCCAACAAACATATGAGAAAAGGCTCATCATTACTAATCATCAGAAAAACGCAAATAGAAACCACAGTAAGGTACGATCTTGCACTAGTCAGAATGGCTATTAAAAAGTCAAAAAATAACAGATGTTGGTGAGGCTGCAGAGAAAAGGGAATGCCTATACACTGCTCGTGGCAATGTAAATAGTTCAGCCACTGTGGGAAGGAGTTTGGAGATTTTTCAAAGGACTAAAAAGGAAGCTATCATTCAACCCAGTAATCCTATTACTGTGTATATACCCAAGGAAAAAGAAATCATTCTACCAAAAAGACATATGCACCTGTAGTTTTATTGCAACAATACTCCCAATAGCAAATACATGGAATCAAGGTATTTGCTACTGATTCCATGAGCACCATTGATTAGGTGCTCATCAATAGTGGATTGAATAAAGAAAAATGTGATATATATGTGTGTGTGTGTGTGTGTGTGTGCGTGTGTGTGTGTGTGTGTGTGTGTGTGTGTGTGTGTGTGTGTGATGGAATACTATGCAGCCTTTAAAAGGATAAAATAATTTCCTTTGCAGCAACATAGATGCAGCTGAAGGCCATTATTCTAAGTGAAATAACACAGAGACAGGAAATTAAGTACCGTATGTTCTCATTTATAAGTAAGTACTAAGCATTGGGTGTATATGGACATAAGGATTGCAAAAATAGACACTGGGGACTACAAGAAGGAAGAGGGAAGGAGGAGGCACCAGTGTTGAAACTAACTGTTGGGTACTATGTTCACTACCTTGGCGATGAGCTCAACTGTAAGCCAAGCCTCAGCATCACACAATATACTGAAGTAACAAACCTGCACAAGTACCCCCTGAATCTAAAATAAAAGTTGAAAAAAAAGTCTTGTGATGACATTGGCCCACCTAGTAATCTGAGATAATTTCCCTGTTTTAAAATCTTTAATTTAATCACATTTGAAAAATTCCTTCTGCTATGTAAGGCAACATACTCAGAGGTTACAGAGACTAAGATATGGACATCTTTGGAGAACTATTAGTAAGTCTACTTCATCTACCATAAGTAAAACCTTTGAGCTGGTAAAGAGAGGAAAGCTAACAGAACTTTGAGAGTGTGGTGTTGGAGTAAGTCTCCAGGAAAACTCTCTACTTCCCATTTCAAGTTATAAAAATATCTAGGCAATTTGGGGCACCTGAGAATAGAGAACATATGTTCTCATTTCTTGAGTGGAGCCCAAGAAAGCAAACAAGATTTGCTTGATATAATACCAGTGAAGTTTAAAGAGGAAGTTGACATTTTAGGCATAGCTGCATGAGCAATACTACCACACTGGATTCTCCAATATCTTTAGGATGACAGAGGAGAGCACCTGGGACTTATTTGTGACACAGATTAGTGCCTAAAGGTGGCTGTGAAAGGGTGAACTAATCCAAATGGTTCTCATGAGCAAAGTATAGAGAACAGAATACTGAGACCACTGTGTGCCAGTGGGAGGTATGACCACTGTGAGGGACAGACAGAATGATATTCATCCATGGCTGTCATTGTGGGCAAATGATGATGATCCTTTCAATGTTACCCATCAGTGCCATGATGTTACATAAATTATCTAGTTGATTGATGCCTCTCTAGAAGAAAGGGAAAGAAAAAACTTGAATTGACTCAATAGACACTTAAAATGGTTAAGTTTATTTGGAATTAAATCTCCTGCCATTAGGCAGAATAGAGGCTCAAAATAAAAATTAAAGTGTATTACTTTATAAAGTTACTTTTTGGTGTTCATACAATTGAGTTTTATGGTCTAAACACTTTATACACCTTTGAGAACTATTCACAGTTTATAACCTTATAGAGGTTTTAGGAAAAATTGCCAGATCAACAAAGCTTCATTTGTTCTGATTCATCATTCCCATATTCTGTCTACTTCCTGTCCCTTTGTTAAACTTCTCTAGAAGGCCCGTTGATTAGTGCTTATTAAAAATTTAGGATTCTAGCACCTGGCTCAAGCAATAAGATATTTATCGACTTACATTACTAAAAAATCCTGTGGGAATGTGGGCTTTAGGGTTGGTTTGATGCAAACATTAATAAACATTAATGACTTGAATGGTGTCATTGAGGTGGCAGACCCATGTCCCTGTGGCTCTCAGTGATGACTTCCTCCATGTATTCATCTCATCCTCAGGGTGGCTCATCTCATGATTGAAAGAAGGCTGCCAGCTATAGCATCCACAGCCTCTAGTTATTTTCATTTACACCTGGAGTAAGATAGGGATTTTCTTTTCTTAACTGTGAAATAAAAAAATCTTGAGTCTTTTTATGAGTAGAATAATTTGGTTACATGCCCACTCCTGAACCGTTCACTAAATCAATGGAATACCATGTTCTGATTAGCTTAGGCCTTAGGTATGTGATCTCACCTAAATTTAAAAATGACCCAAATGGCTTCAATCCATCAGAGTCCAACTTTAGAGCTGGAGTGGGCTCAGTCTCTTCCATGCCACCTAGTTGTTATGCAAAGAGGAAAGGAAGAGATGCTTTTCTTAGAGTTGTCCTTACCAGTAAGTACCCTCTCTCTTCCCCTCATTAAATTATCATATTATTTTATATAATCTCCTAAAGATTCCCAAGGCATCAATTTTGTTAATTTGATAAACTAAGCTGTGTCATTGAGGTTACTCATAAGAGAATATGTGACTTTCTGTAGCAATGGACTACTTTTATTGTACTATAAAATTAAAATAATTTCAGACGTAGCAGATAAGACCAACTCCATGGAAGATAAGCAAAGAGCATCTTTGAGTTGCCACAAATTAAGCAGTTCTGACAAATGACTGAATTTTTTAAAAAGGGTTGCCTTTTTAAAGGGTGGCGAAAAAGTGGCTGTATCAGTCAATTAAGGACTGTTCCTGGCTCTGATTAAGGCACTTTTGAACAAGATAAGTCATTGATGAACTAGAATAAAATGACTCATATCTTTGTGTATTGAGAGACTCTTAACATGCACATTATTGATCCTGGGGAGTGATTTGACTCTGTATTTGACAGTCAAATTGAGGGCCTCTATTTTGCAAGCCTATTTGACACAATAGGCTGTAATGCGTCTTTTAGGATTCTTTGGGCCCAAACTACCCATAAAATTATTCATTGTAATGGCTCCTTTGGAGCAGTGACAGGACTTGATATAAACGTTTGTTAAGAACAGTTGGATTCGCTGATTATATCTCCAATGATGGAAAATAGAAGCTTAAGTGAGGGCAAGGATTTTGGAGACAAGGAATTGTTTTATCAGCTGATGACAAGACTACAAGTAAGGAAAGAGCCAATGGGAGTTGTCGATTCAGAGTACATGCTATTCTTAGAGACTGAGGGATTTTATGCATATGGATTTTATTAGGCATAATGTGTATAATGTTTTACACAGATTGTAAATGGTACTTTCAATGTAAAAGTATATTGAAAATATAATGCACAAAATAATATGAATATTTTTGTTTTCTGTATCAGGTATACAAATACCAAGTAAATATTTGTTAGAGGAATATGTAAAGTAGACATATTATTTTACTTGCTAATTTTCATGAACTTTTTGAGCTAATTGGTTATTCTGAAATATGTTCTAATTTCTTCCTAGGGGGCACAAAAGTGCAGTTTACTAAATTCTATTTCTATGCTTATTTAGGCAGTTTGTATTTAACTTGTTTTCTGAGTAGTAATAAGGAATAAGCTTTTTCAAGAAAATACAGTTTGCATTTAAGAACATAATAAAAATTTACTGATTTGTTTGGCAACCATATGCTTGGAATGAGCATAATTAAGGGCATCTGAACTCAAGAAGATCCAGTATTGCATTTGGGATTGAGTTACACTAATGATGCTACAGTATGTTTTTGGAGCTAATCTACCATCTGCCTATCCTGATAAAAAACTGTGTCAGACAGAATTATATACAGATGGAACTTTGAAAAAACGGATGGCCTTTTGTCATTAACAGTTACCTTGTGAAAGAACAGACAGGTGCACAGCTGAAGTACTAAAAACTTTTTAATAGCAGACCCAGACTGCTTTTGCTCTTCATAGGATTTTAGAACTATTAGTGTTAATCAGGTCAACTTTCTTATTACACACAAGAAAGCTCAGGCAGGTGAGGGGAATTATTCTTGGGCTCACAGTTGTTAAATGGTAAAATTGGTCTCTTTGACAGTTGGATTCATTTTGGCATTTTCTCTGTAGTATTGAAGCTAGAGCTTGGGTCAGTATTTGGGGTTTATAGCCCTCTAGCATAGTCCTACTGTTTTTGGATAAATTTGCATTTTGTTGTAAGAGCAATGGGGAATCTTTGAAGAATTTTAAATAAAAGAGTTATAATTTGGTTTTAATTACATTTTAAGAAAACACAATTCTTGTTACCATGTGAGCAGAGGAAGGAATTGACAAAATCAAGAGTGAAAGTGAGAAGACAAGTTAGGAGGCTTCTGCAACAGTTAAATGAAAAGTATTGAGATCTAGGGTGTAAATGATGGCAGAGGAATGGAGATATTGACACATTGAGAATATTTAAAGATGGAATAAAATGTCTTTTAGGAGAAATATAGGGAAAACTGGCAATGACTCCAAGATTTCTGGTTTTAGTAATGGAATAGATATAGTGGGATGGTAGTGTAATTTACAGGTCTGAGGGAGATTGGGTGGGGTAGTAGGTTTTGAGAGGTATTTTTGGAGAGGAATGAAGATCCACATTAACACTACACAATCAAGTTTGATTTGGATGCTCTTTCTTTATAATTCCATGGTAACCATTTCAAATAGCCCATGCAATGTTCATATAGGAAGATATATGTATATGTATGTGCATATATATATATATATATATATTCATTTACGAGAGAATTCTAGTTTTGTTTGTGGCAGCAACTTGATTTCTCTGCCTTTCAAGCATGGGAGGTGATAATCACGGCAAAGGTAATAAATCTGTCCAATGAGTTAAGAGTACTGTTGTGTGAGGTTCTAAGAAACTTCTTAAAAGGGAGATACATTCAGATAGCACATGCTCCATTTTTTTTTCTTTTTTTTTGCATTTTTCTCTACTTTCTGCCTAAAATGCAGATACAATAGCTGGAACTGTGGCCACCATATTGCCACCAACCACGAAAGACTAAAAACAATCATGTAGACCTTGGTCTTGACATAGTTTAGTTGCTGCAGTAGCCCTAGATTAACTTCCTCTATAATATTAAAATAAAATTAAGTTTATTTTGTTAAACCACTATTTTCTGGATTTTCTGTTGCACATGGTCAGATCTGAACTCTAACTGATACCATTCATCACATCCTTGATGCAGTTTGTGTTGGTTTCCTGTCTTCCTTACTAGATAATAAGTTCCTTGAGTTCAGGGTCATTGCTTTATCTTTCTTTGTATTCATGACACTGAACACAGGATTAACATATGATAGGAACCATAAAGCTTAGTCAAAGTAACTTGATAAATAATTAGATCATCAACATAGGTAAGATGAATAAGACATGGAGTAGAGATAAGCCTAGAATGCTTGGACTCATTTATTAATACTTTGTGTAGCCCCATCTTGTGATGAGAAACTTCTTAGTATAACATTCTCCCTTTACCTAGAGTTAATGTCAAAAGAAATCTCAATGCACCAGAGCATTTTTTCTATAAATATTATTTTACAAGATAAGTCATTCCAAAATGTCTAAAACTTATGTACACTTAACACTATTCAAACACTTTCCTGTTATGTATCACATTTGACCCTCATTGTAAACAGTTTCATTTTACTAATAAGGAAAATAAGGTCTAAAACTCATAAGTGACACAAACAAAGTCATAATAAATGTTGATAGATAGCAGAGGTGCAACAAAAATCCAAAAGCTCTTGAAACCTATACCAATCTTACTTTAATACATCTCACTGAATACTTTCTAAATCGTTAAAGATATAATACCATATAATATGTAGTGGAACATGGTGTAAAATGTGAAAATTATGCATGATACAAATAAGCATGATATAATGCAAATGTTTAAGATATGGAGAAATGCGAAATTATACATATTTTATCTTATTTTTTTTGATATAATCATAACTGAATAATGCTCAGTTGAATAGATGTTCAAATATAATCATGTACTTGGATAAATATGGGGCTTAATTATAATTCTATGGGTTCTTTCCAGATATGCCCTGTCTAGTTTAAATTCTTTTGAAATCAGCATACGTTATCTCCTGAGAATGCTGGGAGTTAAAAGTATTTTCTTTAGTGTAGAAAATAAGTAAAACTTCTCTAAAAATAGTTTATTATTATAACTGGTAGATGTTTAATGCTCTTTAAATACAGTCTTTTTAGCTGTAGACATGTTTCATTGTTTCTTGAGATGTTTTACAAGCAGGGCAAGGATCATTTGCATCAGTTGTTATGAACCCTATAACTCTTTTCCAATTGTGTAATTGTGAAAATTTCAAATCTGTTAGAGTTTTAAAACACAAATATTTGTTTAAAAAAAGTGTATACATTTAAAAAATCCCAGTCATTTTAATGTCTTTAATTGGCTTAGATAATGTTAAATTTGTTAATTACTTAATTTCATCTGGAGTCGTTAAAGAACATTATCTAACTTGTCGTGGATGTGATTTTTCAATTTCCGAAGTCATAGTCATGTGGATTAAAATAAACCAAGATTACCAATATAATGACCTTGCTAATTAGGTACAAATATAATACTGTAAAAAAGGAGAATACAGTAATAAAATCTATTTTGAATATACTTCATTTATTAGAGGTAATTGTTAGTTTAGGCCTAGAATTCTTCTTAAAGTACTAAAATTATTTTAGAAATTTTAATTATGTTTTTAAATTCAGATGTTTATTTATTAAGAATAAATCACTTCCCCAAATTTCTTTGAGAATTTAGAATAACATTTCCTCATTTCTCATAAAGTATGTGTGCAATATACACAGATCAGTATTTATGCAAATGCAAATAAAGTTTACTAATTTTGTAAATACTTAAAAATGTCTAGTGATGTTTACCCAAAATAGTTTTTGTTTAAAGTTAATGTTTTAGGTTAAATGGAATAATAACATGCAGCCAGATACATTAGTAAAGTTAGAATGAGTAAAAAAAAACCCCGTAAACCGTTGTGGTGATTTTTATGTGATTTTTAATTGCTTACATATTTACTTATTTATATGGCAATTATATTCAACAAGATAAGACATTTATTAAATAATTACTATATACCAGGCATTGGGAATAGACATAAAGATTACAATTATATATTGAATGCTTACTACATGCCACACGTTGTCCTAAAATTTTACATAGGTTCTCTCAATAATCTCGTGCAAAATTTATTTTTATCCCAATGTTAAAATAAGAAAACTATGGGTAAAATTATTGAATAACAAATACTAGACTTTGTAAATCATTTATATATTAGCTACCAGAAACATATCTATCATAAACCAAAGTGTTTCTAAGTTTTATACCATCCCACACTAAAAGAAAGTCACCTTGGAAAAATGGTTAAATCCAGGGCCAAGGCAAAGAAAATGCAAGAGGAGCCTAAAACAACCTGAAGTAAGATCAAGAACCAGAATTAAGGAAGTGCTCAGAAGTGGATAGAATTTATGTCAAAAAGAACAGAAAGCTTAATGAAGGCCCCATTGATCGAACATGGCACAATTTAAGCATGAAGATAAAAAAATTATTGGATTAATCTCATTAAATTAAAAATATAATTTAGAAGTCTATATTGCTAATAAAAATGAATAAATTAATAAACGATCAAGGAAAGCAACACTCTTCTTTATAGGAGAATGCTAATTAGTAAATATAAAAAGAATGATCAAGTAGAAAAATCACAATTTGTCAACAATTGCAGTTATAATTGATTGAGGCAGAAATTCTCAATGGTTAATAAAATCATCCAGTAAAATTCGTTGAGGAACAGGATAATTACATAATGTCAACATTTTCCCTATATTATTGCTTATTAATTACAAAAGGAAATAAGCTACCTTTACAGTGGAGAAATATGACAGAAAGGTGACCAAAGTTAACATTACCACTAATGGGATGTAGTAGACACTGTGAGATGCCACCTAAGTCCTGTTTCAGGACTAAAAGATGTATTCTCACAGTGAAGGTCTTTTAGTCAGACAGCCTGCAGCTGTGAGTTCTCCTTGGAATTGCCTTGATTGAAGAGGTCATTTCACTCGAGAGCATACCCTCTTTCCATTGTGGCCCCCATCCAACAATTGGATGAAATAGGTGCCTAAAGGCCTAGAACACTTAACTCAATGCTAGATAAGTCTAAAGGGCCATTGTAGTCTTATTCCTTCCTGGGGGATCAGCGGAGGCTTTTTTTGAGACTACAACACAGCCCACCTTCTCTGTACAAAATCCATTTTCCTTTCTGCCTTTTCCCAGCTGGTAATCTCAAGAGCAGTTCTTGATAAATCCTTCATACTAGCCTTTCTATCAGAGCCTGCTTCTTGGCAAATTAACATGTCATGACAATCAAACTGATGTCACATGCCTCTGGGTATGCTACTCTCAGAAAGACACCATCAATTTTGTAATATTCCTGGCAAAAATGCAAAAACTGAATCTAACTATTAGAAAGCATTTGGACAGTCCCAAAGTTAGGTATCCTACAAACAACTCTTCTGCATTCTTTGAAATATTTGTTTTATTTTGCTTATCTATATTTTCTATTTTTCCTATGCTGATCATTAATTATGAAGCCCACAAAATAGAGGAAATGCTATTTCTATTAATAGCCTAAATAGGTGAAGTGAAGATAGGTAAGTTACATGCTGATGGCAAATAGCATATATATCTTGCATACTGCAAGATTCTCTGCTTTAAGGGACAGGTTTTATAGAAAATAATTGTTTAGGTAGTTTGCATGAGTGGTAGATTTTAAAGTATTAATTGAGCAACTAAATAAGTAAACTCAAAATTTTATCCAAGAAACTTCATAATTTAAAGAAAGTAATAATTTTTCCTTCCTTAAGAATAGAGAGGGAAACAGTATTTTTATTTTCTGAATGGTAAGAAAGCAGAATGGCAGGAGCAGAATGAATGATGGAATGGAAAAGTAAGCTAAGTAGAAAGTCATATTGGAATGAGGACTTGAAGAAATGAATAATAAATGAGGAAATGAGAAAACAGAAATGTTTTCCTTTCTGTAATATATTGTAGCTCAAATATGATGAATTTGAAACTATCCAGAAACCGCCTTGATTATGGAGCAAAGACAAGTTTGACGTTGGCCTCCAAGAAATATAATTGTATTCATGTTCCTAGTCAGCATGTGAAAACATATCCTTCCCTTTATTGTAACTAGAATATACTACATGGAAAGGGGACCAGGTGTTCTAATCAGATATTTGGATTTGCTCTGTGTGTGTGTGTGTGTGTGTGTGTGTGTGTGTGTGTGAGAGAGAGAGAGACAGAGAGACAGAGAGAGAGAGAGAGAGAGAGAGAGAGAGAGAGAGAGAAATCCTTAGTTAACCAGGTGACTAAAACTCCAGAACTGCCGGAAAAGAAAACCTCCTTAACAATTTGTAACATAGATATTCTTCCTAAAGCATAATCTGAGCAAATAAATCAGTAGCAGGTGGAGACTGAGACCCTTACACAAGAAAGTGACATAGTGACAGAGGTTCATGTTGGATAAAAACAATATAGAACAATAGAGAATGATCAGGAGAATTTGAACAAAATATGGAAATGAAAAATCAAGAAAAGACAAGAACAGAGGCCATTCTTTTTTTCAGGTCTATATTTTCATCAGGTGTATGTACTGAGGCAACTGGTAGTTTGTATCAAAATTCCACCGAATATGATTTATAATACGTTGTATAAAAGAACTTCCCTTGAATCATTTCAGATGAACAAATGCTCTATGTTCCATTTCTGACACCTAATGGTGATGCCCACAGACTGTTGATCAATAGCAGCAAATACAATATTTTCTGGTAAGTTGGGCTCTTCTACTCCCATCAGTTGAGCTCCAAGCTTATCAAGATTCCTTGTGTTTATCAAATGTGTTTATAAAAGTCAAGCTTCAAAAAGAATTACTTTAGGGCCCTGGTGTGGTGGCTCATGCCTCTAATCCCAGCACTTTGGGAGGCCGAGGTAGGCGATCACAAGGTCAGGAGTTCGAGACCAGTGAAACCAACATGGTGAAACCCATCTCTACTAAAAATACAAAAATTAGCCAGGTGTGGTGGCACGCACCTGTAATCCCAGCTACTCGGGAGGCTGAGGCAGGAGAATCGCTTGAAACCAGAAGGCGGAGGTTGCAGTGAGCTGAGATCACACCACTGCACTCTAGCCTGGGCGAAAGAGTGAAACTCTGTCTCAAAAAAAAAGAATGACTTTATTTGATGAAATGTAAGTGTGAATAATGAGTTGTAGTTGTTATGAATATCAGTGGAATGTGTTGAGAAGACTAATAAAATTGAATTGAGCTGCCAAAAATAAATTTGGGCAAGATAACTATAGAAATGGCAAGAAATCATTAATAAAATGACTCTGCATTCAAATTACATTGCGAGTGTCTTTAAGTTTTCATTTCACATTAACATGAACAGAAATTGGAAAGTGTAAGACATTCATTATTGCTGTGGTTTTATACAAGATGAATAATCTGAGGCTTCCAACAGTGGGCTAATTCCCAGAAAAGGCTTTCACCTAACATAAATGATTAGCAAATGAAGTTATGTTATTATATTTTAAGTTGTAATAAATTGATGTATCTTATCATTTAAAAATAATTACTTCCTCCTTAATAGAATGTTTCTATTACATAATCAACTGTCAGATTACATTGATAGAGGGGCTGCATCTCTAAGGTAACCATAGTTATAATTCCTGTTCACAATGTAGTCTCAATTTTTTAAACAAATGTTTTCATTGTTACTATGAATTTAAAAATTAAGAATTATTTAAAATTATTTCAAATGTTGATAAAATATATTTGGACTTTATGGAACCTATTGACAAGAATAGTTAAACATCTGTACCTGGACAGGAGAACCTGTTGAAGAGTACCTATTAGAATAGTTGGTCTCAGCTTATTTCTAGGTCTTATTGAGCTATAAATAAATACTTGACCCAATGGCAACCATATACTCTTTTATTTATTTATTTGTTTAGTTATTATTATTATTACACTTTAAGTTTTAGGGTACGTGTGCACAACGTGCAGGTTTGTTACATATGTATACATGTGCCATGTTGGTGTGCTGCACCCATTAACTTGTCACTTAGCATTAGGCATACTTCCTAATGCTATCCCTCCCCCCTCTCCCCACCCCACAACAGTCCCCGGTGTGTGATGTTCCCCTTCCTGTGTCCATGTGTTCTCATTGTTCAATTCCCACCTATGAGTGAGAACATGCGGTGTTTGGTTTTTTGTCCTTGCAATAGTTTACTGAGAATGATAGTTTCCAGCTTCATCATGTCCCTACGAAGGACATGAACTCATCATTTTTTATAGCTGCATAGTATTCCATGGTGTATATGTGCCACATTTTCTTAATCCAGTCTATCATTGTTGGACATTTGGGTTGCATGGGCAAGGACTTCATGTCTAAAACACCAAAAGCAATGGCAACAAAAGACAAAATTGACAAATGGGATCTAATTAAACTAAAGAGCTTCTGCACAGCAAAAGAAACCACCGTCAGAGTGAACAGGCAACCTACAGAATGGGAGAAAATTTTTGCAACCTACTCATCTGACAAAGGGCTAATATCCAGAATCTACAATGAACTCAAACAAATTTACAAGAAAAAAACAACCCCATCAAAAAGTGGGTGAAGGATATGAACAGACACTTCTCAAAAGAAGACATTTATGCAGCCAAAAAACACATGAGAAAATGCTCATCATCACTGGCCATCAGAGAAATGCAAATCAAAACCACAATGAGATACCATCTCACACCAGTTAGAATGGCAATCATTCAAAAGTCAGGAAACAACAGGTGCTGGAGAGGATGTGGAGAAATAGTCCCACTGTTGGTGGGACTGTAAACTAGTTCAACCATTGTGGAAGTCAGTGTGGCGATTCCTCAGGGATCTAGAACTAGAAATACCATTTGACCCAGCCATCCCATTACTGTGTATATACCCAAGGGACTATAAATCATGCTGCTATAAAGACACATGCACACGTATGTTTATTGTGGCACTATTCACAATAGCAAAGACTTGGCAACCATATGCTCTTAACAAAGGGGAGAGAAGCAGCCTATGAGCTGTCCTGAGAATTCCATTCAATAGCAGTGCTCCATAATGTGTGGGTTACATATTCCCCACATGCTAGCCACTAGGGATTACTTTTAATTTCATATCTTTAGAAAATTCTGAAGTCTACGTCAAACATATAATTAAAATCCAGATACCCTCTCAATATTTCTAAGTGTTTTTGTTATGTTACTCTTGTCCCTACTAATAGCAATTTAATGATCCCTGCTCAATTCTTGAGCTTGTCTCCTTGTCTTGCTTCCTATAGTTGTTGTCAGGGTGTTTGCTTGTCCGTCAGTGCCTTTGTGCAAATTAGAGTGAAGCTGAGCAGGGAGCATAGCTGGTTGCTCAGAATTCAGGCTGGATTTCAGCTCTCATTAATTATCTTACCTGGGCACTTTTGTTCAGCAGAGCAAACTGCACCACTATAGGCGGCAATCATTTTTCCACAATACCCCCTTTATGTATTCCTACAAGCAATACTGAAACAATTTTTTTTTCTTTTCAACTTTTATTTTAGGTTCAGGGGGTACACGAGCAGGTTTGCTACATGGGTAAATTCTGCCACTGGGGTTTGGTGTACAAATGATTTTGTCATACAGGTAATGAGCATAGTACCTGGTTGTAAGCATAGTACCTGGTAGTGGTTTTCAGCCCCTTACCCTCTTCCCATCCCCCTCATCAAGTAGGCCCTAGTGTCTATTGTTCTCATCTTCCTGTCTATGTGTACTCAATGTTTAGCTTCCACTGGTCAGTGAGAACATGTGGTATTTAGTTTTCTGTTTTTTCGTTAATTAGCTTAGGATAATGTCCTCCAGCTGCATCCATGTTGCTACAAAGGACATGGTTTTGTTTTTTTTATAGCTGCATAGTATTCCATAGTGTAAATGTACAACATTGTTTTTACTAAGTCCACTGTTGATGGATATCTAGGTTGATTCCATGTCTTTACTATTGTGTATAGTGCTGCAATAAACATATGCGTGCATGTGTAGAATTATTTCTGGTAGAATGATTTATATTCCTTTGGTTATATACCCAGTAATGGGATTGCTGTGTCAAATGGTTAGTTATGTTTTAAGTTCTTTGAGAACTCATCAAACTGCATTCCACAGTGGCTGAAATAATTTAAATTCCCACCAGCATAAGCATTCCCTTTTCTTTGCAACCTTGCCAACATCTGTTATTTTTTTACTTTTTAGTAATAGCCATTCTGACTGGTATGAGATGGTATCTCAGTGTGGTTTTGATTTGCATTTATCCGATGATTAGTAGTGTTGAGCATTTTTCATAAGCTTATTGGTCACATGATGTCTTCTTCTGAGAAGTGTCTGTTCATATCCTTTCCCCATTTTTAAATGGGGTTGCTTTTCACTTGTTGATTTAAGTTCCTGATAAATCCTGGATATTAGACCCTTGTTGCATGCGTAGTTTGTGAGTAATTTTTTCCATTCTGTAGGTTGTCTGTTTACTCTGCTGATAGTTTCATCTGCTGTGCAGAAGTTCTTTTGTTTAATTAGATCCCACTTGTCTATTTTTGTTTTTGTTGCAATTGCTTTTGGAGAGTTCATCATGATATTATTGCCAAGGCTGATGTTGAGAATGGTATTTCCTAGCTTCTCTTCTAGGATTTTTGTAGTTTTAGGTCTTGCATTAAAATTTTGGATCCATCTTGAATTGAGTTTTGTATACGATGAAGTGAAGTGGTCCAGTTTTAATCTTCTGCATATGGCTAGCCAGTTATTGCAAAACCATTTATTTAATAAAGAGTCCTTTCCCCATTGATTATTATTGTCAGCTTTGTCAAACATCAAATGATGGAAGGTGTGCAGCTTTATTTCTGGGTTCTCTAACCTGTTCCTTTGATCTATGTGTCTTTTTTTTTGGTACCAGTACCATGCTGTTTTGTTTACTGTAGCCTTGTAATATTGTTTGAAGTTGGGTAGTGTAATGCCTCTGGCTTTGTTTTTTTGTTTGCTGGGTTTTTTTTTTTTTTTTTTGCTTAGGATTGCTGTGGCTATTCAGAATCTTTTTGGATTCCATATGAATTTTAGAACAGTTTTTTTCTAACTCTGTAAAAAATGACATTAGTAGTTGGATAGGCATAGGATTGAATCTGTAAATTGCTTTGAGCAGTATAGCCATTTTAACAATATAGATTGTTTCTATCCATGAGCATGGAATGTTTTTCCATTTGTTTGTGTTGTCTGTGATTTCTTTCAGCAGTGTTTTGTAAATTCTCATAGTAGAGATCTTTCACTTCTTGGGTTAACTGTATTCCTAAGTGTTTTATTCTTTTTTGGCTATTGTGAACGGGGTTGTGTTCTTGATTTGGCTCTCAGCTTGTATATTATTAGTGTATAGAAATGCTCATAATTTTTGTATTTAGTACATTGATTTTCTATCCTGAAACTTTATAAAAGTTTTTTATAAGTTCTGGGAGCCTTTGGGCACAGACTATGGGGTTCTCTAGGTATAGAATCATATCATATATGAAGAAAGATAGTTTGACTTCTTCTTTTCCTATTTGGATGCCTTTTATTTCTTTATCTTGCCTGGCTTTTTTGTAGGGGGTAGTAATTCCAGTACTATTTTGAATAGGAGTAGTGAGAGTGGGAATCCTTGTCTTGTTCCAGTTCTCAAGAATAATGCTTCTAGCTTTTGTCCATTCAGTGTGATGTTGGCTGTGTGTTTGTCATAGATAACTCTTATTATTTTGAGGTGTGTTCTTCAATGCCTAGTTTGTCGAGGGTTTTTAACAAGAGTGAATGTTGAGTTTGATCAAAAGCCTTTTCTGTGTCTATCGAGATGTTTAGTTCTGTTTATACAATAAATCACATTTATTAATTTGTGTATGTTCAACTCAACCAAACTTGCATCCTAGGAAATAAGCCTACTTGATCATTGTGGATTAGCTTTTTGATGTGCTGCTGAATTCAGTTTGGCAATATTTTGTTGAAGATCTTTGTGTCTATGTTCATTAAGAACATAGATACAGGTTCCCTGTTTTTTGTTGAGGTTTTCTTTTTTTATTGTTTCTCTGCCAGGTTTTGGTACTAGAATGATGCTGGCCTCATAGCATGAGTTAGGGAGGAGTTCCTCCTCCTCAACTGTTTGTGATAATTTCAGTAGGATTGTTTCTTCTTTGTACAACTGGTATAGTTCAACTGTGAATCCATGGGGTCTGGGGCTTTTCCTAGTTGGTAGTTTTTCTTTTTTTTTTTAAACTGATAACAATTTCATAACCATTATTAGTCAGTTCAGGATTTAAATTTCTTCCTAGTTCAATCTTAAGAGGTGTATATTTCCAGGAAGTTATGTGTTTTCTCTAGGTTTTCTAGTTTGTGTGCTTAGAAGTGTTTATAATAATCTCTAGGGCTTCATATTAGTCTCTAGGGCTTTTTGTAGTTCTATTGGATCAGTGGTAATGTCACCTTTGTCATTTCCAATTATGTTTATTTGGATTTTTTTCTTTTGTTCTTTATTAATCACACTAATGGTGTGTCAATCTTGTTTATTATTTAGAAAAACCAATGTTTGGTTTTGTTGATGTTTTATATGGATTTTCATGTCTTAATTTTGTTCAATTCGGCTCTGATTTTGATTATTTTTCTTCTGCTGGCTTTGCAGTTGGTTCGTTCTTGTTTTTCTAGTTCTTTTAGGGATGATGTTATGTTGTTAATTTGAGATGTTTCTAATTTCTTGGTGTAGGCATTTAGCATTATAAAGTTCACTCTCAACATTGCTTTAGGTGCGTCCCAGAGGTTTTGGTATGTTGTATCTTTTTCTTCACTAGTTTCAATAAACTTTTTGATTTCTGCTTTGATTTCATTCTTTACCCAAAAGTCATTCAGGAATAGATTGCTTAATTTTTATGCAATTGTATGGTTTTGGGAGTTTTACTTGACATTGATTACTATGTTTATTATGCTGTGCTTTGAGAATGAAGTTGGTATGATTTTGGTGTTTAGATTTGTTGAGAATTGCTTTATAACCAAGCATGTGGTCAATCTCAGAGTATGTGCCATGTGCAGAAGGAGAATGTACATTCTGTTTTTTGTTGGATGAAGTATTCTGCAGATTTTTGTTAGGTCCATTTGGTCAAGTGTCAAGGTTAGGTCCTGAATATCATGTGTTAGATTTCTGCCTTGATGAGCTGTCAAATAATGTCATTGGGGTGTTAAAGTCTCAAACCATTATTGTGTGGTTATCTAAGTCTCTTCATAGGTCTCTAAGAAATTGTTTTATAAATCTGGGTGCTCCAATGTTGGGTGCATATATATTTAGGATAGTTAAGTTTTTTTGTTGAGTTGAACCCTTTATCATTATGTAATACCCTTCTTTGTACTTTTTTATTGTTGTGGATTAAAACTCATTTTCTCTGATATGGAAATACCCACCCCTGCTTTTTATTCTGTTTGCTTGATAGATCTTTCTCCATTCCTTCACTTTGAGCCTATGGGTGTCATGCATATGAGATGGGTCTGTTGAAGACAGTATACAGTTAGATCTTGATTTTTTATCCAACTTTCCACTCTGTGTCTTTTAATTAGGGTGTTTATCCCATTAACATTTAAGGTCCATACTGATATGTAAGAATTTGATTCTGTCATTCTGTTATTAGCTGGTTGTTATGTAGACTTGATTGTATAGTTGCTTTATAGTGTCAATGGGCTTATGTACTTAAATGTGCTTTTATGTGGTGGCAGGCATCAGCTTTTTGTTCCCATATATAGTACTCCCTTAAGGATTTATTGTAAGGCAGGTCTCATGGTAATAAATTCCCTTAGCATTTGATTGTCTGAAAAGGATTTTAGTTCTCCTTTGCTTATGAAGCTTAGTTTGGTTGGATATGAAATCCTTGGTTGGAATTTCTTTTCTAGGATACTGAACATAGGCCCCAAATCTCTTCTGGATTGTAAATTTTCTACTGAAAGATCCACTGTTAGCCTGATGGGTTCCCTATGAACATGACCTGCCTCTTCTGTTTAGCTGTCTTTAATATTTTCTTTTGCATTGACCTTGGAGAAGCTGATGACTATGTGTCTTGGATTTGGTCATTTTGTACAGTATCTCACAGGGGTTCTCTGAATTTCCTGAATTTGTATGTCAAAGATTGGGAAAATTTACGTGGACAATATTCTCAAATATGTTTTCCATATTTGCTTCTCCATATTTATTGAATATTGAGAAATAGTTGAGAAGTATTTCTCAATACTTATCCAATTATTTCCATATTTCTTTGCTCTTTTTCATCTTTGTCAGTAATGACAGTGAGCTACAAGTTTGGTATCTTTACGTAATCCCTCATTTCTCAGAGGTTTTGTTCCATTTTTAAGTTCTTTCTTCTTTATTTTTATCTCCCTGCATTGATTTAAATGAGTGGTCTTTGGGCTCTGAGACTCTTTTGTAAGCTTGATGAATTCTGTCATTAATGCTTCCAATTGCATTATGAAATTCCTGTAGTAAATTTTTCATTTTCAGAAGTTCCTTTTAGTTCTTTCTTAAAATGGCTATGTTATCTTTCAACTCTTAGATCATCTTACTGGTTTCCTTTGATTGGGTTTCAACCTTATCCTAAATCTCGTTGAGCTTCCTTGCCAGCAGGATTCTGAATTCTATGTCTGTTATTTCAGCCATTTCAATCTAGTTAAGAACAGTTTCTAGTGAGCAAGTGTAGTCATTTGGAGGTAAGAAGACACTCTGGCTTTTAGTGTTGTGAGAATTCTTATGATGGTTTTTCTCATCTGTGTGGGCTGATTTACCTTTAATCATTGAAGTTGCTGTCCTTTGGATGGAATGTTTTGCTTTTATATTTTTTGGTCCCCTCGACAGTTTAACTGTGGTATAAGTTGGGTTTAGTCATTTGGATTCATTTCTGGATGCTATCAGGGCACCAGTGGTTAGCTCAGTACTCCTGGGCTGCATGCTCTAACCCTCGGGGGCTGGGATCAGGCCTGCAATTTTGATCTCTGGCCCCTTGTGGTCAAACACCTGTTGTGCTGAAAAAGCTGATATATTCCTAGGCTGCTGGCAATGCCGCTTCATCAGGGACTGCCAGCAAAAGCACTCAGGTGGGGTGGGGATGGGGGGCTGCTAGTGAGTGTACAGTGGCAAGGCCTGAAACAGATTTTTTAGAAGTATAACTGTTATTTAAAAGTTCAGTGATAATGGAAGATAATTATAATAATAAAGAATGGAAATGAAGATTTTCTTGCAGTTCCTTAGGTCCCTGCCTTCACCATGATGTTGTCTATCATTTGGTGGCCCCACTTTGATCACAAAATGTAATGCAAGTATTTCTTATAAATTTTATCTTCCTAATTACAAGTGCATAGTGACTATTTGAGTCAATCAGAGTTTTTTAAAAATAGTTTTTGAGAATGTGAATCCCATAAAGAGATACAGACAGATAAATAAGAATCAAAAGTCAAGAGACACTAGACAGAAGCCATGAAGCACTAACAACAGACACACGGAGAAGCTCAGCTGTGACAACAGAGATGTATCAGTATTTTTACTGTGCTCTAGAGTTTCTGTAGCATCCAGAATGCTGCTGTCTGAGGTCTGATGTACCACTGTTGAGGCCATTTGCTAAGACCTGTTACCTCCTCAGGTGCACTTAATAATTAAACCCCACCCCATCAGTTGAAGAAACCAGACAGGGCATGATTTTGTTCAAGCAAGTAAAAAGAGCCTAACAAAACTACGGATTTCACTCATCTTTCAAATTCCTCAGTATTTGACAGATAGCCTAAAATTGATGTGAACTCATAATCTTTACTCCTTTACAAAAATAAAGCTAAGCATTTTCACTCTTCGCTAAGCCCTACTTTGTTCTCCCAAAGCAAACACTTGTACAAAACAAGAGTCTCTGTGTAGAAAAGGATGATGATTGAGGCACTGAATTCACCTTTCTGTTGCATGTGGTAATAGAGCAATTCCTTATTGACTTATATAGCCAACTTTCTGCAAGTAGACTGTAGCTTAATTATGTATAAATGCCCAGTGTGTTCTTTCCAGATTATAAGAACTTCTAGACCTTTCCTCCTCCAACTCTTTGGCAGCCAACCTACAAGTTTAACAGGATAATTGACTCTCCTGAGGGATAGATGCAGGACAAATATATGTGATGGAATGATTCAGTTATCTTAACAGGGCCTCTCTTGAAACAAATTATTTATTTTCTGATCTACAAGAGAAAAATGATAAAGGAAAAAATACTAAACCAAACAGAAATAGCTTCTCCCAAAACCTGGAAAAATTAGACTACACATTTATTATTCTTGGAAACACTTCTGCTCTGTATGTCTCATAGAGATGTTTCTCTTGATTTTTTGCAGCCCTCATACTGTTATACTGGCATTTAGTTTATCTGAGATTGCCTCATTGTAGCCATTTGGAGATTATGCTGTGAGGGAAAAAATTTCAGAATGAACAGTAAAGCATTTATAGGGCAATTGGGGCCATTTTCAACCATAGTGTTGGATTTTGAAAAGCCTTTCATTCTGCTGATGTGAAAATAAAGAGGATAGAGCCAGGTGGAACTGTAAGGTTTCTTTGTTTTTCTTGTTTTCATTCAATAATTTTAAAGAAGGACCAAAAAATTGCCTAGAATCGTGGAGTAACAGCCCTACTGAATCCTCATACTTGCTTTTGCTGAGAAGTTCCTTAGGTCTAATTTTGCCAGCAAATTGGATTGTACTGCTTTTTTATAAACTGACGACCACCGGTAGTTTTTCTTAGGCAAAAATTTGTGTATTGAGACACTTAAGAACACTTAAGATCTTATGAGCTTAAAATTAAATGAAATAATTTGGTCATAGTTAGTAAAGATCAATAAATCATTTAGTTGCCAGACTTACTTCAAGTTAGTTATGGGGAGATAGCTGTTCGGAATTTGGAAGAATTCATTGATATGGTTTAGTGTTTTCCATACTTGCTGTACAACCCACTTCCTGGCAATGTTTCATTTTGCCTTTTATTTCTGAATCAGAAAATATCATTTTAAAGATGAAGTAATCTTGGGACTGGCTTAAAGCTAAAAACATACTACATTGGAGAAAATGGGACTAAGACTCTTTAGAGAGATTTATTTCATACCATTAAATAGTGTCTTTAGAGCACCCGTGAGTATTGCACCAGATGGGAAGATATTACCTTCTTACAGTCCTATGAACGATGCTCATATAGGTAAAACTAATGGGAAGGCATATTCAAACAAAAGCAAACCTTACGGCGTATATATTTTTTTAAAAATAAAAGACTGTATTACTAGAGCTAAATAGGCCTTTTCTTCTATGCCCATAAGAGTGAAATTCCAAGGCCTAATAGAACAATCCTAAGAACAGCAGAGTAAAGACCTTAGGACATCCACATTGAAAAGAACATATTACATGAATCCTCCAAAAGTAATCTAAATATTCTGAAGGAAAATTCATGAATTATGGCATAACCTTTATCTCTATCTGGGACCCTTGAAAGGTCTTAGACCCTGAGACACTGATGCTATGTTTTTGTTGTTGTTGTTTATTTGTTTGTTTGTTTATTTGAGATGGAGTCTCGCTCTGTCGCCCAGGCTGGAGTGCAGTGGCGTCATCTTGGCTCACTGCAAGCTCTGCCTCCTGAGTTCATGCCATTCTCCTGCCTCAGCCTCCTGGGTAGCTGAGACTACAGGCGCCTGCCACCACATCCGGCTAATTTTTTTGTATTTTTAGTAGAGATGGGGTTTCACCGTGTTAGCCAGGATGGTCTCGATCTCCTGACCTCGTGATCTGCTGTCTCGGCCTCCCAAAGTGCTGGGATTGCAGGCGTGAGCCACCGAGCCCGGCTGGCACTGATGCTATGTTTAAGACCAGCACCCAGAGTCTAATATATCCTTCCATAACCAGTAGGCCTGATGCTCCTTGACAACTGACTTGTTGATATAACAGAATTTATGGTGTTTGCCTGGTGATTGCAAGGCACAGGAGAGGAGGGATCTGTTTTGAGTGAATGTTCTGAGCTGTCTAAAGCTTATTCTCTCTGTGTTTCTCTATTCTCCACAGCAAAAATTCTCATTGCCTTCAGAAGTTCTCATGAGGCTAAGAGTTATTGGCCAACATTGGAAGTGAGGGAAGACTTACAATCTTTATTAATTACTGTTCATTTTCGTGAGACTCTAAAATGTCAAAAAAAAATTCAAAACAAGGGTTAATATTTTTTGTTTTGAGGATAATTCAGGGAAATATATAAATATTTATAATCTCAATTTAAAAGCTTCACAATGGAAACAGGCTTTCGAGTTTCAAGAAGGAGAAGGAGAGTACTGAGAACAGGGATGATTTTTAAACTTAGATTCCTACTTTATTAACAGAAGAATACCAATAAGAACATCAGCATGCTTTTAAAATAATTAAAATGTTGATATCTAGGGTATACTAGAGAAATAACAACATGGGAATGGTTTCTACTCTTCCATTTGTCAAATTCTCGTAACACTTTAAAGTAAATGTGGCATATTTACACATATTATTTTATTCTGGAAACCTCATAATTTAGGAACTTTTATTGTACTGAATTTACAGTTGGGGAAATTAAAGCTCGGAGAGTTCAAGTGACTTGCCCAATATTATATAACAGTTAAGCTAAGGCTTTTCTTTTGTACTGGCTTCTATGCAATGGATTTGCAGATGTGATTGCAAAGCAGGATTCTCCCCACATGAAGCTTTCTCCCAACTTGGGCCTCCTCTTGTGGTATAATGGCTAGGATACAAAAATGCATGTGTGCATATAAAATGAGATAATAACAATCTTGTTAATGCAAGAAAGATGGAAGCACTAACTGCCTGAAGCAAACAGGGAAGGCTCTAAAAAAGTAGGAATTTCTCAGCTGGAGCAGTGGGAGGCTGCAGTTCTAAGCAGAGAAATCGCCACATGCAAAAGATAGTGACAAATGAAAGTAAATTAGGTACTCTTGGATGGAGCGGTTTGCCAGAGGTGGAACAATGGGCCTGAGGGGGTGAGGAAAAAGAGGTAGGAGTATCAGAAGTTACCAAGAGATACATCTGGAAAGGTGAGTAGAAACGGACTGGAAAGTGGGAATAAAGAAATAATGTAAACTTAATTCTTGGAATTGGTGCCCAAGCTTAGAATCTGTGCTTTAATTTGACCTGTGGGTTCTGTAAAAACTAATTATATTTAATAGAAGCCCCTTCACTTTTGATGTTGCCTTTAAGTTCCAGCTTCAGAGAGAAATATTATGTTTTATCTAAGCCTTTTAACTAAAAGATGAGTTTGTCAGTCTCAAAGAATTACATGCTTATTTTATTGGAAGATTTTTATGCTTTATTTTACATGACATCAGGAAATATCTGTGGAAATACTCACTTCCAGTTGATCAGAAATGAGAGAAACAAAATAAATAAAATTCAGTTGAAAGAAATACTTATGAAAATGTGCATTTTGGAGTGCTCTTTGTAATCCTGTTAAGTGAATGTCATGTCAGGCAAGCTTCTGCAGCCTTCATTCATCTGGCAGATATCTGAATGGCAGCCAGCAGGCTGCAGCCACATTACCCGTGTCTCACTGTCTTTCCTTCCAGATGTTGTCTCTTACCCCTGGTTTTACAGAAACAAGGAGTGTCAGGAAAAAATTGAAAAAGAAAAAAAATTCAAACAACTTGCTTGTCTTCACAAAATTAACTCTGCTGCCTTGCTACTGTCAGGCAAATCTCTTGATCCTCTTTATACCTCTACAGTCTTCAGCTCTTTCCTTTTTCTTACACCAAATCATCATATAACCGAGTCTCAGGTACATGAGGATTATTTAAACTTTCATTTATTGGGCTCTCAGAATTCACAGTGTCATAGAAACTAGAATCAATAAGTACTATGCAAATGTGTAAGATGTAATTCTTTTCTATAATAATAAACATCTGGCTGGTGAGAGGTGAGAAGAGCCTTGTTGTAAGTGAAATTGAGACTGGACTACTCATGAGAAGAGCATAAAAGGGATTAATAAATCCTAAAATTCCAATGAGAAAGCACAGACCTCATTTGGCTTATGTAGAGAGGTCCCAAATCCCATGCTGGAGGTGTATATAATGATAGGTTATTAAATTGCTGGGCTAGCTCCATCCTCCCTTTCTATAGGGACTGAGGCCATCAATTACTATGCAGAAAATGTGCATCCATTGTGACATGAGATGATCAGCAGGGAGGCAATGCAGCAGGCACTTTCTCTTTAGTGAAATATATTCAGAGAAAACATGTTCCTGGAGCTCTGTTCAGCAAGCAGATTAAGAATTTAATACAATTTTCTAAGTGAGAAGTCCTCAGATGCTGTCTCATTGCCCTTCTGTCTTTCTGGTTTAAATTAAACAGGATGTGTATCTTGTTAGTGAAGGAAAACTGAAAATGGTCTGCAAGATGAATTGGAGAATACAAAAATCCAGCAAAAGCAATAGCAATACAATTGTTCGAGCACATGCCTGCGGACAGTTCACGGCTTAGCTGACACTCAAATTGTCTTTTGAAAGTTGATAAACTTCAGATCACATGTCAAGAAGATAATTTGCAGTATTAAAAAAATAGATAGCCCTTCCTGACTCTTAAAAGTGTGGTTTAGTGCTTTCCAAATTTTTTCACATTGTGAATTGTACCTCTTTTCTTGCCGCCTCCACTTTCTGGCATGGCAGGCAGATTTCAGATCTCTCCTCACTGGAAATGCCAGATCATAGCGCTATGGCAACCAGCACTGTCGCGAGATCCTTCCAAGGATGCCACCCCCACAAATTCTTCTAACCCATGACTATTTCTCATAATTTCCTGCTCCTCCAAAGGGCAGGGCAGATGGCCAGGCCCCAGAGCACACAATGCTGACAGTTGTTCCAGCTCTAAGGCTGTCAGAAGGGCCCACTCTAGATGTCCACAGACATTTTGGATTCAGATCCTATCACTCTTAAATATGGAAGTTTGCAAACTTGTGCTTTTTTTTTTTAGTCAGTCATCTCTATATTTTCCATAAGTGATATTAATAAATTTCCAAAATAATGTATTACAACCATTGATATTTAAATATAAATTCTATTTCCTCACTTCAAATCCTTAGGATACAACGTTCTTCAGGTTAATTGATTTCAATCTCTGTCTTCTTTTACACACACACACACACACACACACACACACTATATATATATATATATATATATTAAAATGCTCTCAGGAAAGCAAAAGAGGAAATTTTCCATCAAACACATGTAAGGCTTCAAGGAAACCTTGAAGTTGGAATTTTGATGTTATCTCTGCATTGTTTCCATTTAGGAACTTCAGTGATTTAATTTAATTAATTTATTTATTTTTGAGATGGAGTCTCACACTGTTGCATGGGCTGGAGTGCAGTGGCGCAATCTCAGCTGACTGCAACCTCCGCCTCCCAGGTTCAAGTGATTCTCCTGCCTCAGCCTCCCGAGTAGCTGGGATTACAGGCATGTGCCACCATACCCGGCTATTTTTTTTGTATTTTCAGTAGAGATGGGGTTTCACTATGTTGTCCAGGCTGGTCTTGAACTCCTGACCTTGTGATCCGCCCACCTTGGCCTCCCAAAGTGCTGGGATTGCAGGTGTGAGCCACAGCGCCCAGCCCAGTGATTTTATTTTTATGGATAAAAATGTAATTGATTTGTTGGCTTGTTTTAATTTGGAATCTTTCTTAGGAGATTTAGTAGGTACAACATTTGCATTTATTTATTTCTTCATGTATTGGATAAATATTTATTGAATTTATGTGTCAGGCACTTTGTAGGCACTGAAGGTACATCCATAAACAGTATTTACAATGACTTCTTCTCTCATTTACTCACAATCTGGAGGAAAGCTGTAGAAAGTCTAAAAGCTTGATTATTTTTAGTGGCCAGGAGAACTGGGTTCTAGTGTTGCTACTTATATCAATCATTATGTGGTTTCGACCTAGACATAGACTTCCGTAGACTACTTTTCTTGTTTGGAAAATAAAAAAGAAAGGCTGGTTGTAAGTTTTTGTGTTTTGTTTTTCACCAGCATAGCAATAATGAAAATGGTAGCTCTAGCCTCTTTAGCCTCAAAAAGAACATGGAATATGTGAACCTAGTAATTTTGTCTATGGTAATTTATTCACTCCTGCATTTAATAAGTGTGCAGCGCATGTCTTCTTTGTGAGTAGAGACTGTGCTTAGTGAGTCAGGAATAAACAGATAGAGGAGACAGGTTTCACTTCTCATGATCTACTGGGGAGGCCTTCATTAAAGTAACTAGTGGAACTCCAGTGGAATAAATGCTGTGATTACTAGCAGTCTGAAGAAGGTACAGTGGGGGACAGGCCAGAGTATAATTGATTCTGCCCTTGGGATTTAGGTAAGGCTGGCAATGGGGGAGACATTTGACCTGGGTCTCTAGGGAATGGAAAGGTGGAACTGGTGAGAACGAGAAGAGAAAATGATGAGTGCATGTATGGAGATGTGACATGGCACTGTGTGTGGTAAAAGGCAAAGAAAGTAAAAAGTACTTTTAAGATAAGACTTAGGGGTCAGTCTTCAAGATGAGTGAGAGGAGATAAGAAAGGAGAACAAATACAGACTAGATAGTGAAGAACCTTAAATGCTTCACTAGGAAATTTTAACTTTATTAAGACAATAAGCTTGAACTGAATGTTTTTCTGGGTCCAGGTCAATGGCATTAATTTGTCTTGTTTTCAATGTTAGCTACTATGTAGAATACTTAAGAGTATCCTTGGCACAAGACAGGGATGCCCTCTCTCACCACTCCTATTCAACATAGTGTTGGAAGTTCTGGCCAGGGCAATCAGGCAGGAGAAGGAAATAAAGGGTATTCAATTAGGAAAAGAGGAAGTCAAATTGTCCCTGTTTGCAGATGACATGATTGTATATCTAGAAAACCCCATTGTCTCAGCCCAAAATCTCCTTAAGCTGATAAGCAACTTTAGCAAAGTCTCAGGATACAAAATCAATGTACAAAAATCACAAGCATTCTTATACACCAACAACAGACAAACAGAGAGCCAAATCATGAGTGAACTCCCATTCACAATTGCTTCAAAGAGAATAAAATACCTAGGAATCCAACTTACAAGGGATGTGAAGGACCTCTTCAAGCAGAACTACAAACCACTGCTCAATGAAATAAAAGAGGATACAAACAAATGGAAGAACATTCCATGCTCATGGGTAGGAAGAATCAATATCGTGAAAATGGCCATACTGCCCAAGGTAATTTACAGATTCGATGCCATCCCCATCAAGCTACCAATGACTTTCTTCACAGAATTGGAAAAAACTACTTTAAAGTTCATATGGAACCAAAAAAGAGCCCGCACCGCCAAGTCAATCCTAAGCCAAAAGAACAAAGCTGGAGGCATCACACTACCTGACTTCAAACTATACTACAAGGCTACAGTAACCAAAACAGCATGGTACTGGTACCAAAACAGAGATATAGATCAATGGAACAGAACAGAGCCCTCAGAAATAACGCCACATATCTACAACTATCTGATCTTTGACAAACCTGAGAAAAACAAGCAATGGGGAAAGGATTCCCTATTTAATAAATGGTGCTGGGAAAACTGGCTAGCCATATGTAGAAAGCTGAAACTGGATCCCTTCCTTACACCTTATACAAAAATCAATTCAAGATGGATTAAAGACTTAAACGTTAGACCTAAAACCATAAAAACCCTAGAAGAAAACCTACGCATTACCATTCAGGACATAGGCATGGGCAAGGACTTCATGTCTAAAACACCAAAAGCAATGGCAACAAAAGACAAAATTGACAAATGGGATCTAATTAAACTCAAGAGCTTCTGCACAGCAAAAGAAACTACCATCAGAGTGAACAGGCAACCTACAAAATGGGAGAAAATTTTTGCAACCTACTCATCTGACAAAGGGCTAATATCCAGAATCTACAATGAACTCAAACAAATTTACAAGAAAAAAACAAACAACCCCATCAAAAAGTGGGCAAAGGACATGAACAGACACTTCTCAAAAGAAGACATTTATGCAGCCAAAAAACACATGAAAAAATGCTCATCATCACCGGCCATCAGAGAAATGCAAATCAAAACCACAATGAGATACCATCTCACACCAGTTAGAATGGCAATCATTAAAAAGTCTGGAAACAACAGGTGCTGGAGAGGATGTGGAGAAATAGGAACACTTTTACACTGTTGGTGGGACTGTAAACTAGTTCAACCATTGTGGAAGTCAGTGTGGCGATTCCTCAGGGATCTAGAACTAGAAATACCATTTGACCCAGCCATCCTATTACTGGGTATATACCCAAAGGACTATAAATCATGCTGCTATAAAGACACATGCACACGTATGTTTATTGCGGCACTATTCACAATAGCAAAGACTTGGAACCAAGCCAAATGTCCAACAATGATAGACTGGATTAAGAAAATGTGGCACACATACACCATGGAATACTATGCAGCCATAGAAAATGATGAGTTCACCTCCTTTGTAGGGACATGGATGAAATTGGAAATCATCATTCTCAGTAAACTATCGCAAGAACAAAAAACCAAACACCGCATATTCTCATTCATAGGTGGGAATTGAACAATGAGATCACATGGACTCAGGAAGGGGAATATCACACTCTGGGGACTGTGGTGGGGTGTGGGGAGGGGGGAGGGATAGCATTGGGAGATATACCTAATGCTAGATGACCAGTTAGTGGGTGCAGCGCACCAGCATGGCACATGTATACATATGTAACTAACCTGCACTATGTGCACATGTACCCTAAAACTTAAAGTATAATAAAAAAAAAAAAACCAACACAGTATGTTAATATTGCAGTATAAACATTGCATGCATGAATAAGTAGGTCTAAATTCAAGAAGTGCAATGATCCCCATGCTCCAAATTCATTAAAATATGACTTCTGTAGGCAGGAAAATGCAACCTTCTTATATAATTTTTACATCTGTTACAGGTATCCAGAGTATGCAATATTATCTGCAAATTTATAGAGGGAAAGTCTGTGGAAATTTACAGTTCATATTTAAGTATTCATTGAACATGCTAAAAGTAATTATATTTTGTTTCTTAATAGCTTTATTGAGTTCTAATTGTAATATAATAAAACACATGTTTAAAATCTACAATTTGATAAATTTTGATGTACATATACACCTGTGATATTGACATTACACTCAAGATATTGAACCTATTTATCACTCCAGAAAGTTTCCTCATGTCTCTTTTGTAATCCCTACCTTTGATTCCCTACCCATGTCTCCCTTCAGGTAACCACTGATTTACTTTCTGTTATTAGAGATTAGTTTGAATATTTCACAATTTTAAATAATAAAAAATATACTATTTTGAAAAAAAAATAAAAGAGTATCCTAAATAGGCTGTACCTTTTGTTCATCTGGGAATTGGGAACCTTCCAGAGAGAAGACAGTATGGACTTTTCTTTTACTCTTTATTTTTATGTGTTCCAGATTCTCTAGGGTTTTAGCATTGGGAAGAGGAGTTTGATAAAATGGGTGCAGAAGTTTCTTCCTAAGCTGATGTTCTTATAATTTTCCCCACTCTGTAACCTTTGGTGAGACTGACATTAGATCTCTGGTTCTCTTGTGGACCCACTTGTGTTCTTCAGATCCCCTATATCAGGCAACTGATGATCCACATGTACCACCTGTGCAGTCTTCTAGCTTGGGTGACATGCTCTCTTGGTGGTACATTTCGTGAAGGTCCTACAGTATCCCACTGCTGGCAAGCTTCACTTAGAAGACTTCCTTCTTGAGTCTGGCATGGCAGTTCAAATTAGTCTGGCATGGAGGTTCATGCCTGTAATCCCAGTGCTTTGGGAGGCTGAGGTGGAAGAATCACTTGAGGCTGGGAACTTGTGACCATCCTGGGCAACATAGTGAGACCCTGTCTATAAAAAAGTTATTTATTTATTTATTTATTAGCTGGGCATGGTGGCATGCACCTGAAGTCTCAGCTACTCAGGGGGCTAAGGCAGGGAATTGCTTGAGCCCAGGAGTTCCAGGCTACGGTGAACTATACTTACACCACTGCACTTCAGCCTGGGTGACAGAGTGAAACTGTCTCAAAAAAGACTCAAATTTGTTGTTTTCTGTGGTATCCACTTTATCTTCAGGAAATGTGTGCATCTTTGCCACACCAGGAGAACTTGTCCCTACTGCCCTTTCTTCCCGTCCTAAAAATTTGGAGTGATCCAGACATTCTCCTGTAGCCAGAATTATTCATGAAATAAATGTTTTCTTGGTTTGGTTTTTTTTTTTTTTTTTGAGTCAGAGTTTCACTCAGTCGCCCAGGCTGAAGGGCAGTGGCATGATCTTGGCTCACTGCAACCTCCACCTCCTGGATTCAAGCAATTCTTCTGCCTCAGCCTGCCAAGTATCTGGGACTACAGCTGTGCACCACCACACCTGGTTAATTTTTATATGTTTTGTAAAAACGGGGTTTTACCATGTTGGCCAGGCTGGTCTGGAACTCCTGACCTCAGGTGATCCACCTGCCTCGGCCTCCCAAAATAAATGTATTCTTGCCTCTTGGTTCTAATATATCCCCAGACTCTGGAGGAAACATGACTCTTTCTCCTATGCTAGTTGGATTGAGCCTAGTGATTGTCACAGTTGAGGAAGTGTCCACCAGGGGACTGAGACACCTATTTATTCATATGGGTGCCTCTAAAATCCATAGTGTTTTTTCTTGGTGTCACTCCTTTCATTTGTGGGTAAAAGAGTTAAAAAGCAACCAGTGCACGGAAACTTGAGAGAACAAGACATGGCACTTCTTTAAAAAAAAATGTTAATTTTTGTTTTAGAGATGGAGCTTTGCTTGGTCACCCAAGCCAGAGTTCAGTGGTGTGATCTGTGCAGCCTCAAGAAATCCTCCTGCCTCAGCCTCCCAAGTAGCCGGGACTACAGGTGTGCATCACCATACCTGGCTAACATGACACTTCTTTTAAATAATCCCCTGGATGAAAGTGAAAGTGGAGAACAAGTCTGGCCACTTCATAGCAATCTGTTGAAGAGATGGGGTTAGTATCTGGTGGTTTCTTGTGGTCTCCCTTTAGAACGTAGAAACATCTTTTATTGCTTTCAGTTTTGAAACTTTGGCTGAAATGTGAGAAACAAGGAAAATGCCCCATTCTGAATTCTGTGACAAATGCTTTTTGTATTTTCTTAGTGTATTTTTTTCTTCCTTAATGGTTTATAATGTTCACTTTGACAATTCTAGCCCCTCTTGCTGGGATAATGGGAACTAATGAAAAGCTAGATTTATAAAGTAGAGCCACATCCCATTGAGAGCCAACAGTGATAGAGGCAATAGTAATCAAAGTAGAAACTCTGAAAGGATAAGGCCACTCAGGGGTATTAGATGGAGATACGCCTGCATCCACTTTTCCCTATTTAGTGTTGTACCAAGAGCTTTTCTGTTGAAGAGTTGGACTGTTTTATCAAAAGGGGTCCTGACTTGGAAAACACTCCCTTATAATGCCAATCAAGTCATTTCCATGCTATATATCTTCCTTTTTGTTATGATATATATTCTAATCATCACAGTTGTATAGAATCAAAGTACTGAAACCTTATTTATTATATTATTTCCTAAGTTAATGACTTCTAATAATGACTTGTTACATTCTGGTTTAATCAAGCAATAAGACAACAGTTCAACCACCTGCTGGTCCTTTGTTGGTGATAAAGGGATGACCAGCAACCATGTTGTCTTCACCAATTGATAATTCCACTTTGGACAGTTTTGTTTGTGAAGCATTGTGATGCTGTTATATTTATTGAGCCACTGATGAGAATCTCTCTCACTATCTGGTTTCTGAGTGTTTGCGTAGTAGAACAACATATATATGGTGTTGTGATAGGGGCAGCAGCAGGAGACAATGAGGAAGACAAAGAGAAGGGCTGAGAGAGTAAATCTCATTAAGGTTAATAATTCAAGTATAATTGTACCTAAATGACCTTTGGAAATGATTTGACATCTTATATGTTAACTTCAAAAGTAAAAGACTTGGGATTGAGGTTGTGGTGAGTACTCACTGAAGCCACCATTCTCTACTCTGAGTCACGCCAGCCTTTCTCGTCCTTTGTGAAATTTTTTATGAATTGTGAGGTCTTCTTTTGAAGCCTTCAACATTGCAATGGATTCTAAGTTATCACATTTAAGATGCGAAAGTAGAGATGAGGCATAGTGTACATTGCAGTGCCAGATGTGCACAGAAATCAGTTTGTTTATACAAATAGTTAAGCATGGAAACACTAGATGAGTTGCATGCATTTGTTTGTCCTTGGCTTTACTGAGGCTCTGGCTCCAACTTTAATCTTTTTTTCCTGTAGATGATACTCATCTTACTTACAGTATTTACCGAAATGTAAGGTATTTTTCAGAATAAGTCCCTTAAATCATAAGTGATGTGTACCAGATGTGGTTTAATTCTAAAGTAAATTAGGTGTGGCTTCTTGGTTAGAAAATAAATCTTTTTATCTCTCTTCTTCCTCTCATTTCTTCCTTATCCTGTGTGGCAACCAGGTATACTTGAAGGACTAGGAATTTTGAAGACAAATAGACCTGGATTCCAGTTCTGACCATGCCATTTAATTTTTGGTCATCTTAATATGTTACTTGACATCTTTGAATCCCTGTGTTTTTATCTGTAAAATGGAAAACATACTAATAGCTACCACTTAGTTATTGTGGGCTATGAACACATCTATTATCTAAATCTCACAGAAATCTCCTACATGGTCAGTGCTATTATCTTCATGTTATGGAGGAGGAAACAGGGACTAATAGAAACTAAGGAAATTTCAAAGTCACACTGCTTGTAAATGGAAGAGCTATGGTTTGAACTCATGTCTGTCTCTTGTCAAAGCCCTTGACTCCATTATACTTCATAACCCAAATGCCTCTTATAAGGAGAAGAATAACTTCTATTAATGTATCTTTGATGGAGTACTTTAAAATAAGATTGTATTAGACCATTCTCACATTTCTATAAAGAAATTCCTGAGACTGGGTAATGTATAAAGAAAGGAGATTTAATTGGCTCATTATTCTGCAGGCTTTAGAGTAAGCATGATCCTGGCATCTGCTCAGCTTCTAGGGAGGACTCAAGGAGCTTTTACTCATGGCAGAAGGCAAAGCAGGAGTAGGTACTTCACATGGTGAAAGAAGTATCAGGGTTGGGGTGGGGGAAATGCCACACACTTTTCAATGACCAGATCTCATGAGAACTCACTCACTATCATGAAGACAGCACCAAACCTTGAGGGACCCGTGCTTATGATTCAAACACCTCTTACCAGGCCCCACCTTCAGCACTGGGGATTACAATTCAACATGAGATTTGGGTAGGGACATAAATATCTAAACTATATCAAAGATATTTTAGTTAGAGCCCCATTAGTGAAAAGTGAAGCCCAATTCAAAGTGGCTAAAACAAATAGGGAGAATGATGGCTGAGAAATGGGGTAGTTGCATGCCTGGATAAGTGCGTTACTTTGGTCAGGGTAAGGAACTTGTATGACATTAACTACTCACCATTAGTCTCTTATCTTTGCTGGTCTGTAGGCAAAGGCATTTTTGGGATTCTTCATGTGGTAAGAAACATGGATGTTAGTATCAGTGGGAATATGTCTTTGCAACCCTTCATCAAGAAGAATGTCTTCAATAAAACTTTGAAACCTAGGGAAGAACTCTAATTGGCCTGCTTCAGATCACATGCTCAGGTTTTGTCCCAATCACTAGGACCGAGTGCCGTGGCCCAAGGTTTAGTAAGGTTTTGCCAAGGCTGGGTTATTTGTTTATAGTTAGAGAAATGGATTCTACTTTCAGGAGGAGAAAGAGGAAGCAGCATTGTATAACTAGGCAGTAGCAACTGTAGAATATTTAAATAAATCACAGTGATATTCTACACAGTTACAGATGATTTAGGTAAACTTTTCAATTTTTCTTTCTAAAATCTAAGGATTTTGCCGTCTTTTTCTTTTTAAATCATTGACTGTGTTTTTAATGTAAATAGATCACAGGAGGAAATCTCTTTTATTTTATAGTCATAATCTTAGGGCATTTTATTCACTTTATATTAAACAATTCATCTGTTAATTTGTATAACTGGAAATGTCCCTGCGAAATGTCTTTTCTATTTTGGCCACAGTGGAAAGAGCACTTACACACATGGTGCAGTCATTCTAAATGTTCAAAACAGAAGGGTGTTATGGGGGCTAGTGATGTTTTCTTCCTGTTATAATGTCATATATTTAATGGGCAGAGAGTGGAAGATGCTGGCAAGCTACTCAAACAGTCTCATTGTGTTATACCTGGGAGAGTTTATCAAAACTATATAATTTATTGAAGTAGATATATTTACAACAGTACAAAATACATCAAACAGCAAATGAGTCTGGTATGCCTGACTAGTAAGGTGAACAAAAATCAATATTTAAAATGAGAAAATGAAAACATTCTATCTTCATATTAACAGTCTTAAGGAAGAAACAGCTGTTACATTAGTTATCACCTTGTAGAACCAATACAGGATTGTAATTTAATTTCTTGGACCCATAGTTGCTTGGCTGCAGCATTACCACATGATTTAAACCCTGCAAAGTTTGGCTTTACCACTAACTGCAGGTGCAAATTTTTACACTAAGCCTCTATTCTTTTTCGAATTGAGATTCTTCCCAACTAAAGATTATTTTCAGGCAGTTGATTTTAAAACACAGACCTTCTTAGCAAACTCTGCTTCTTGTTTTCTGGACTTCCAAGTGTAGAGCTTTGAAATGTACTAAGTGTCTTAGACCATAATATTAGCATATGTCAAGAGTCTCCATTTTTATTATCATTCTATATTATTCTTTATTATGTGTGTTTGCTCTTCCAAGCAATAATAGTCTAGTGCAATGACACTAAGATGACTTTTAGTTTTGCACAGGCAACAACAAGATCTTAGAAAATATTGCAAAGTGGACAAAGTATATGGTACACACACACACACGTACACCAATTACTTTATGGTGGTGTTTTTTTGGTCAGTAAAATGCTGTCCAAAAATGCTTTCCAGTTTATTCATGACACCCACCTTTATTTTAGATCAAGTTCTTAGATTACTGTCTGCACCCAAGAATCATGCAGTCTAATGGAAAAACCTCCAGCATTCTTGCCTACGAGGATCCTCACCACTACACAGTATCAACTGTGGATATCCTCCTGTAACATTTTCTACTCTCTAAAATCTCTTACCCTCTATCTCTAACTCTTTATTAACAGCAAGACTCTCCTACATGAAGCTAAGAGTCACTCCACATAAGTTAAGGATTCATTCAGTCACTTAAATATATGTATTGGGGGTACATTTGTGGGAAAAGACAGATGAGGTTGCTGAAACCTTAGAACCTGATTTTTAGTGGAAAAAGGCAGGAACGAGATGACAAATAAGCAAACAAACAAATAAATAATTCTAAGAGCTGTAGGTTCTATGAAAAACAATGGATATGTTTAATATCCCCGGAGAGCATTTGCATTTTAAAGCAGTTGCTTGCTAAATTAATTGATTCTGGAGTACTTGGAGTTTATGTGGGGATTGCTGCCTAACATCCCCTTTCACCAAATCCTCTGCTTGCCACTACATTTTGTTTATAGCACTCAGAAATGTCTTTGTAATCTAGCTTGTAAAAGGAAATATGTGGTTTATTTTACTAAAAGGCAAGATAGAAACAGAACCACAAGTAAAAAGGGAGCAAGCAGCTGTGGGTGTCTAACGTGTTTTATAGCAACCTTTTCTCCCATGTACCTTTTAAATGTAGCCAGAAGAAACAGAGAAGGAAGAGAGGAGAAGGACTCACTGTGGGAGAGAGGGGTTCTTGCCTGCACCAGCAAAAGTCTCATGTGGGAGTGAAAATGTCTTTAGCCATCTGGGGCCTCCTTGGATACTGGGGTAACAGGTTGATTCTTTGCACAATAATGTTGAAGTCATTTGTGCAGAGCTTCCTTGGCAGCTTTTTCTAATTTTGCCTACTGAACTAGATAGAGCTAAAATAATCAGTGCATATCTGGGCAGCAGCCACATCTTACAAGGGTCATCCATGCTTTCCTGTACTCTAAGTCACTATATTGAAATATGAATTTTATGTAGTATCACAAATAATTTTATTTTGTGTAAAATCCCATTTCTGAACATGTGTTTTAACTTCAGATTATAAGTAGCTGATGATCTCACTGCCATCACTTCATTGGTTTATAGAGAGGAATTAGGCATATTTTTCTATTTGTATACCCCTACACAAACACATATTGCTCCCTACTTTATAATTAAGGCTCATAAACAATATTTCCAAAGCACTCTTTTACCAGAGGGAATATTATTTTGAAGCATCTTTGGTAGTTGAGAAAGGTTACTGGTGAGTGGACATCTCCCCTAGGAAACTTCCCAACTGAAAAAATTAGTTCCAGGGTAGAGATGGTGTGGGAGGTTCAACTAAGTTGTATCTGACTCAAGTAGGGGAGTTCAAGGAAAGATTCATGAAGGGAGTGTGTCTGAGCTGGAAACTGGCCTGACAAAGCAGGCTTTCCAGATGTCAGGAACATCCAGGGCAGAGGTACAGAAAGAACAAAGGATATGATGAGCAATGGCAAGAAGTTTGGTATTACTTCAGCATCAAGTGGATCGAAGAAAATGATGGAAGATGATATAGAAGAGTTAAGCAGGAGTTCAATCATGCAATATCTTTTTTTTTTAAAAAAATTCAACTTTTATTTTATTTTAAATACAGGGGGTACATATGCAGATTTGTTACACAGGAATATTGCATGATGCTGAGGTTTGAAGTGCAGATCCTGTCACTCAAAGTGTGAGCATAGTACCTGATACATAGCTTTTTTTTTTTTCTGTCTTTGGATAGAGCAGTATTTTTTTTTCTTTTATTATTATACTTTAAGTTTTAGGGTACATGTGCACATTGTGCAGGTTAGTTACATATGTATACATGTGCCACGCTGGTGCGCTGCACCCACTAACTCGTCATCTAGCATTAGGTATATCTCCCAGTGCTATCCCTCCCCCCTCCCCACACCCCACAACAGTCCCCAGAGTGTGATGTTCCCCTTCCTGTGTCCATGTGATCTCATTGTTCAATTCCCACCTATGAGTGAGAATATGCGGTGTTTGGTTTTTTGTTCTTGCGATAGTTTACTGAGAATGATGATTTCCAATTTCATCCATGTCCCTACAAAGGACATGAACTCATCATTTTTTATGGCTGCATAGTATTCCATGGTGTATATGTGCCACATTTTCTTAATCCAGTCTATCATTGTTGGACATTTGGCTTGGTTCCAAGTCTTTGCTATTGTGAATAGTGCCGCAATAAACATACGTGTGCATGTGTCTTTATAGCAGCATGATTTATAATCCTTTGGGTATATACCCAGTTATAGGATGGCTGGGTCAAATGGTATTTCTAGTTCTAGATCCCTGAGGAATCGCCACACTGACTTCCACAATGGTTGAACTAGTTTACAGTCCCACCAACAGTGTAAAAGTGTTCCTATTTCTCCACATCCTCTCCAGCACCTGTTGTTTCCTGACTTTTGAATGATTGCCATTCTAACTGGTGTGAGATGGTATCTCATTGTGGTTTTGATTTGCATTTCTCTGATGGCCAGTGATGATGAGCATTTTTTCATGTGTTTTTTGGCTGCATAAATGTCTTCTTTTGAGAAGTGTCTGTTCATGTCCTTTGCCCACTTTTTGATGGGGTTGTTTGTTTTTTTCTTGTAAATTTGTTTGAGTTCATTGTAGATTCTGGATATTAACCCTTTGTCAGATGAGTAGGTTGCAAAAATTTTCTCCCATTTTGTAGGTTGCCTGTTCACTCTGATGGTAGTTTCTTTTGCTGTGCAGAAGCTCTTGAGTTTAATTAGATCCCATTTGTCAATTTTGTCTTTTGTTGCCATTGCTTTTGGTGTTTTAGACATGAAGTCCTTGCCCATGCCTATGTCCTGAATGGTAATGCGTAGGTTTTCTTCTAGGGTTTTTATGGTTTTAGGTCTAACGTTTAAGTCTTTAATCCATCTTGAATTAATTTTTGTATAAGGTGTAAGGAAGGGATCCAGTTTCAGCTTTCTACATATGGCTAGCCAGTTTTCCCAGCACCATTTATTAAATAGGGAATCCTTTCCCCATTGCTTGTTTTTCTCAGGTTTGTCAAAGATCAGATAGTTGTAGATACGCGGCGTTATTTCTGAGGGCTGTGTTCTGTTCCATTGATCTATATCTCTGTTTTGGTACCAGTACCATGCTGTTTTGGTTACTGTAGCCTTGTAGTATAGTTTGAAGTCAGGTAGCATGATACCTCCAGCTTTGTTCTTTTGGCTTAGGATTGACTTGGCAATGCTTTTTAACCCACATCCACCTCCCTATACCCTCTAGTAGTCCATAGTGTCTATTCATTTATATTTATGTCCAAGTGTGCTCAGTATGTATCTCCCACTTATAAGTGAAATCATGTAATCTTTGGTTTTCTGTTCCTGTGTTAATTTGCTCAGGATTATGGTCTCCAGCTTCATCTACTTTGCTGCAAAGGACATGATTTCTTTTTGTTGTGGCTGTGTAGTATTCCATGGTGCATATGCACCACATTTTCCTTATCCATTCTACCATTGATGGGCACCTGGGTTGATTCCATGTTTCTGCTATTGTGAACAGAGCAGTGATGAATATATGAGTGCATATGTCTTTTTGGTAGGATGACTTACTTTCTTTGGGGTATATACCTGGTAATGAGACAGCTGGGTCAAACTGTAGCTCTGTTTTAAGTTATTTAAGATATCTCCAGACTGCCTTCCACAGTGGATGGACTAATTTACATTTCCACCAACAGTGCGTAAGTGTTCCATTTTCTTTACAGCCTAGCCAGTATCTTGTTTTTTGACTTTTTATTAATAGTCATTCTGACTGGTGTTAGATGGTATCTCATTATGATTCTGATTTGCACTTCTCTGATGATTACTGATGCTGGGCATTTTTTCATATGCTTATTGGCCACTTGTATGTTTTTATTTGAAAAATGTCTGTTCATGTATTTGCCCATTTTTAAATAGAGTTAAGCCACAGTAACCAAAACAGCTTGGTACTGGTACAAAAATAGACACATAGACCAATGAAACAGAATAGGGAAGTCAGAAATAAAACCACACACCTACAACCCTCTGACCTTCAACAAGACCAATAAAAACAAGCAATGGGGGAAGGGCTCCCTGTTCAATAAATGTTGCTGGAATAACTTGCTAGCCATGTGTAGAAGATTGAAACTGACCTCTACCTTTCACCATATACAAAATTAACTCAAAATGGATTGAAGATTTAAATGTAAGACCTCAAACTACAAAAATCCTGGAATAAAACTTAAGAAATACTCTTCCTAACATTGAACTTGGCAAAGAATTTTTGAATACGTCCCCAAAAGCAATTGCAACTAAAACAAAAATAGACAAATGGGACCTAAGTAAACTAACAAGCCCTATGCAGCAAAATAAACTATCAACAGAGCAAACAGACAACATACACAGTGGGAGATATTCACAAACTATGCATCTGACAAAGGCCTAATATCCAAATATGTAGGGAACTTAAATCAACATGCAGTATCTTCTGTGTCCTTATATGTTATGCTAGGAGACTTTTACTGTTGGTATGTAAACAACTGGAGGGCTTTAATCAGGGAAGTTGCATGGTAAGTTCTGCTTTTCAGAAAGATTGCTCACCTTTATAGGTATGTGGAGATTTGAGGCAAATCTGATTGGAATCAGAAAACTATTTAGATAGTCATTGCAATTATCTGTGCAGAGATGATATGTGCTTGAAATGGGGCAGTGGTAGTTGAAATGGAGATGAGGGATGCAGATGAAGAACATGTGGAAAGTAATTTCAGAAGGATTTGTCTCTTGGATGCAATTAATATACATTAGGAGAGAATGTGGAAAGGGTAGGAAATATCAAGGATAACCTACAGATTGAGCCAAAGAGAATTCAGGTGGAGGTAAACAATTTTGGGAAAGAGGTAGGTTCAGTTTTAGGCATAACAAGTTAGAGGATATCTAACTAGAAATGTTTAACGAAAAGTTGCATATGTGAGTCTGATGCTTGGAAGAGATCTGTGTTGAAAAGACAGGCTTGGAATGCAACAGTATACAGTGGTACTAAAACAATGAGAGTAGAGAAGTTGCTATTGTCCAGAAAGAGAATGGAGGAAAACCCCAGGGGAGAGATATATAGATACAGAGACTGAGATAAAGGTAGATAGAGACAGAGATAGAGATAAAGATGACAGAGAGATAAAGAGAGAGAAAACACCAGGAAACAGTATCAAAGAGATAACACTTAGGAGAGATCCAGGAAAGATGGTGTGATCAACAGTGTTAATTGCATCTACCATACCCTAGAAAGTAAGTATTTATTTGATTCTGTGTGGTCCTTGATGACTTCGGCAAGAGAAATTTGAGTAGAATGTTGGCGGTAGATGCTGGATTGCTGTGTGTTGAGTGGTCTTTAAGGAAGTGGAGTTAGAAAACAGAATTTACCACTCTGTGAAGTTTGGGTGCTTAGAAAGAAGAAAGGCTGGCAGTGTCCAATCTAGCTCCATGTGGATTGGAAGAGGCTTGGACATGTTTTTAGGCTAGAAGAAGTGACAATGAGGAGAATAATTTAGAGATAAAGGATTTCAAGACAAAAATTAATGACAAGCAAGAGGAGATCAATTGAAGCACAGATGGAGTGTTGACTTTGCATAATATGAGGATGTTTCTCTTTAAGGCTACAAAATTGATAAGTTGGTAGTTGTGACTATGGACATCATAGGAATTAATAGTGACATAACAGAGATTTTACCAGATTACCTTAATAGGATGCAAGATTATATTTTGTCAGTGTACAGAGCAAGGGTTGATTATGGGGTTTAATGGGGATGGAAGGGATTTGAGATAATGACTGAAGATATTAGAAGAGAGCTGATTTTACTGTGGTTGGAGAATGAGTTTGTACTGACACAAATATGTACTGTTGCATGATTTTCTCAAGTACTTAACCTCTTGGTGTGAGAACAGAGAGGGATGTTTGAAGCATTGGTTCAGGGTTAGGGTTTTACCAGGTAGGAAAATGGAGGAAAAAAGAATTATGAATTAAATGAGACTAGTAATAGTGTGGTATGGCTCAGGAAATTTATCTCTAGTGTCCATGCAGGGTAAAGAAAGATAAAAAGCAAATGGTTTATAAATGGAGGATTCAATGTCTTGAATTCCTTTCTGAAGTTAAACACCAGATGCGGTGGAAGAAAAGACTTGAGAGGGCTAAAGAATAGGACACTGACCAGAGTTTGGAGTAGTTGATAAAACGTTGAATTGACCAGGGTTATGAATTAATCCTCTGTGTAGCTCTGGGAATGGGTAACAGAAACAGATTTGAAAAGGACAAGAATTTTGTGGAGGAATGGATATAGGAGTATAGAAAGTAGAGCGTTGAGAAGCTAGGACTATAAAAACGGAAAGAAACTCCACAGATAATGGTGTCAAGAGTCAAAAGTAGGATCAATAGTTGTGAAAGCATAAGGATATATACAGCACAGTGAAGAGGGAGGTAGGGAGTTGGAGGGTAGCCTTATGTTGACAACTGGTAGTAGAAATGAGAGTCATGCTTATTTATTACTAACCTTGAATATCAAAAGTCTGGCAAAAATAATTCTGAGACCAGAAAACTTGAAGATCCAAAGAAATATTGTGCTATTCTCTAAGAGTTAGTGAGGGCTCTGTTCTTGGCTGTAGGTAATGAAGGTTCATTCCTGCTTGGCTTTTCTGCATTACATGGGTTGGCTTTTTGCATCCAGGCTCAGGCTTCCTGACTCTCAGGATTCACAGAAAGCTATATATGAATCCTAGCCTTAAAATCTCTAAAACTGAATCAATCTTTTATTGAGTGTAGTTTTGGGAAGAAGGAAACAACTATCTTCCCTATCCTGTTACTTTTTCTCTATTCTGTTTAGTCTTAGGCAGAGACTTTTTGACTCTTTGAATTAGTTTTCTTCTTTAATGGAAATTCTTCTTTCTATTGGTATTCATTTACATTCAAGAAGATAAATTACAGTGGAAATATATAACTTTAAAAAGCATTTCACAAAGATTGCTAATGGGTATTAGATATCTTTCTTGTAAAGAATTGCTTTCTTCTGTTCCATTTGGAAACCACACCATGGTTAATATGAAAGTGATTTCATCTGTGATATTGACCTACATAATTGTTGATGCCTACAGAGAAGTGCTCATGTCAGACCCTTCAAGTTTACATGCCAATCTCATGGTCTTCTGCTCTGACCTAAAGTAAAACACTTAATTACTGTACATTTCAATTTGCCAGCTGTAAGTGTGGGGCTATCTTGCTTAGCAAATAGAAAACCAAAGGAGAATGTAGAGGATTGCTTGAATGTTTGCTTACTACTGACATTAATGACTCTGGATGACTCAATTACACTCACAGAGACTCAGTTTCTTCATTAAAAAACAGTATCCTCTCCCACAAGAAAATCATAGGGTTTTGAGAGCATAACAATATGTGTAAGACATTTGAATTGTGCCGACATGATGGCCAACATATTTCCAAGGAATAAGTTTACGGATAAGGTTATCAACAGAAAGTGTCAATGTGAAAACTGAATCCATCCGTCTCTTTTTTCAATTTTACTATTCAGTTTGTAACCTTGTTTCATGTATTTGATTATGTACGTATAACATAATTAAAATCTAGAATCAGGGCAGAGCCATTGCAAATGAACAGTATTTTTTTCATATTTATTTTACAGGAATTTAATTATGTTATAGAGTTTGTCTCAGTTAGGATTCTGTATTTGCTTAATATCTATTGAGTATGAACCATGCCCCAAGGAATGTGCTAGGCCCTGAAGAATCAAAGATAATAGAATGATATGATCTCTGATCTGTATAAGTGCATTGTCTAGTGATATCAGTTCATGATTTCATGTATTTTGGTATGAATATTATAAAATGTTCATGAAATATTTTGAAACATTTTGTGAATTCTAACAACCTGTAGATGTTTTGAACTTTTAAAAATATATATAATTTATTTTTTAGAGCAGTTTTAGGTTCACAGCAATATTGAGTGGAAAGTACAGTAATTTCCTGTAATCTCCTGTACCCATACATGCACAGCCTCCCCTACTATCAACATCTTACATCAGGCACATTTTTTAAAACCTATGAACCAACATTGATACATCATTATCACCCAAAGTCCACAGTTTGCAATAGGGTCCATTCTTTGTGTTACATATATACATCATTATAGAATCATACGGAATATTTTCACTGCCGTAAGAATCTTCTGTGCCCCTTCTGCTTTTCCCTCCCTCCACCCCAACCTTTGGCAACCAGTGATCTTTTTACTATTTCCATAGTTTTGCTTTTTCTAGAATGTCATATAATTGGAATCATATGTGTGTAGTCTTTCTGGATTGGCTTCTCTTGCTTAGTAATGTGCTTTTAAGGTTCCTCCTTTTTTGTGGCTAGATAGCTTCTTTCTTTTTATTGTTTAATTATATTTTTTCTGGATATACCACAGTTTATTTATCTATTCACCTACTGAAGAACATTTTATTTGCTTTCAAGTTTTGGCAGTTATGAATAAAGCTATTGTAAACATTCATGTTCGGGTATATTTGTAGACATAAGTTTTTAAATCATTTGGTTAAATACCAAGGCACATGATTGCTTGATTATGCAATAAGATTTAGATTTGTAAAAAACACGAAAATTGTGTTCTGAAGTCACTGTATGATTTTTCATTACTACTACTCATGAGAGTTCCTGTTGCTCCACATCCTAACCAGCATTTGATGTTGTCAGTGTTTTGGATTTTAGCTATTCTAATAGGTGTGTAGTGGTGTCTCATTATTTTAATCCTTTTAGACTTTTGACTGATGTCTTCCCACCGAATATTATGGTGTGCCATGTGCTGTGGAAAAATTTGAAAGATTAGTGGATGAACAATTAATAATGGAATAGGGAGAGGAAGAAAGGCCAGGCCAGTTTAGGCAAAGGAAGCTTTTGTGAAAAGCCTTATGAGTGAAAGATAATATGATAAATAGCAAATAGTTGGGGATGTGGTATAGAATAGTTTAGGAGGAGTATCAGGAGGTGAGGACATACATTTAAATAGAAGCTAGATTTTGAGAATATGAGTTAGGTTGGATTTTATTTTTATAAATGATAAAAAAATTTAAATAATCTTAAATACAGCAACCAAATAGTTTCAACTAGACAAACTTGATTAATTCACATATATACATGCATTTTTCAAAATCACATTAAAAAACCCAAACATATGAAGAAAACTTTTTAAAGAAATGCATTTTGGAGTATTTAGGGATTTGCTTAAAAGTACTTTAGTAATAAGACATTTAAAAATAAAAGAAGGGTAGGCAAACATGACAAAATGTTGATAATTATAGAATTAGAGCAATGGGCACATGAATGTTTGTCTTACTATTCTCTCTACTTTTGTGTATGTTTGAGAGTTTTTCTAATTTATATATTTTTTAAAATTACAAATAGTAGACTAGGATTGGAAATATTTATAAGCGATGAAGTGACATGATTAAATTTACATATAAGTAAAGACATTGATGTGGCAGAATTGACAATGTGAAGGAAGGTGGCTATGACTGGTTAGGAGTATATTGCAATACTACAGGTAAGAAATGATATGGATACCTTAATTGATAAATCATAAGTATAGTGATGTTATTTAAAACTACAACATTTACAACATCCTCCAGAGTAACTGAGTGGAGCGAAAATAAAAGACAATCAAGGACTGAACTCTAAAAGACAACAATATTTGAGCACTGAAGAGATGAAGAAAAGCCATTAAAGAACTTGAAATGGCTGGGCACGGTGGCTCACGCCTGTAATCCCAGCACTCTGGGAGGTTGAGGCGGGCGGATCACGAGGTTAAGAGATTGCGACCATCCTGGCCAACATGGTGAAACCCCGTCTCTACTAAAAATACAACAAAATTAGCTGGGCGTGGTGGTATGTGCCTGTAGTCCCAGCTACTTTGGAGGCCAAGGCAGGAGAATCGCTTGATCCTGGGAGGCAGAGGTTGCAGTGAGCCAAGATTGCACCACTGCACTCCAGCCTGGCAACAGAGCAAGATCGTGTCTCAAAAAAGAAAGAAAAAAACAAAACAAAACAAAACTTGAAATGGAATGGCTAAAGAGGTGGGAGGAGAATCAGGGAGCGGTGAAGCTGTTATTGAATGAAAATACGTATTACATTTGTAAATCTAATCAAATTTCACAAATTATGTACTGTTGCTCCAGGCTCTAAGTGTTTGCTGTAGGTTTTAGATAATGTCCTATGGAATCATAAACAGTCATAAATAGTTAAATAGTTTTTCTCAGTATTGATAGTTCTTTATTGTTGAGAATAATTGTCTGGCTGTCATAGCCATATTATTCTTCCATATAAAAAATTTTAATTTGTTTATTTGTAGGGTAGAAATGGGTTTTTTGAAGCCATGATTCAATAAAGAAAATAAATTTCAGATTGAAACATAGAGGCCTAGACTTTATATCACATTTGGAACCCTTATTATTTAGTTATAAATAGCCCATAGTTGAAACATGTTTTTGAATCAAAGGTAATTAAATAAGATAAATAAGATTATTTGCCTAGTATTCTGATTATCAGATCAATCAAATTTGTTTTCCTCATTGCTGATAACAGAATATAATTTGGTCAGGCTGAAAACTAGAAAACCCATAACCATGAATGCTGCAGTTAATCTCAAATGGAAGTCTCCTTTAGTAATAATATTAACAGTTATTATTTATTAAATGCATTCTGGATATTTGTCACCAGGCCAAGCACCACTCACAATTCATCTTGTTTAATCCTCATAGTTTTATTTTTTATTTTTTAAAATTATATGGGTATATATGAAGTATATATATTTATGGGGTACATGAGAGATTTTGATACAGGCATGCAATGTGAAATAAGCACATCATGAAGAATAGGGTATCTATCCCCTCAAGCATTTATCCTTTGAGTTACAAGACTTTGTAATATTTATACCCAACTGGTGGGTGAAGATGTTGAAATTCAGTGAGATTAAATAATTTGCTCGACATCACACAGCTAGCAAGTGGCTGAGCAGAAGTTTTGTCCCAGGAGGCATGAATTTGGAGCTTACACACATGACATCTTGTAATACACTTTGTTACTTGATCTCCTTGGACCAGACGTTCAGGATTCTCCATCACAGGAGTTGATATCTGTAACTTAAAATGTCCAATCATGCAGCATAAAACGAGAGAGCATAAGAATAGACTTCCCCAGATGCCATAAAGGTTATTTTTACTTTTAGAACCTCTGGGGACTGATGCTATAGTTAGGTTTTCATTTAATATTCACAAATTGAAAGTAATGTATTTTTCACAAATATTTTGGGGCTATAGTGCAAATTTCATAACTTATGGGAAAATAAGAACCATTATGGGCATATTATAAAGCAAATTATTTGAAATTGAAGTTAAAATGACCCATACTGGAGAATATGTTCTATATTTTTAATAGCATAGAAAAAATTAACGAGTTAGATGTTCGTGAATCTTCGGGACAGGTTGGCATCCTCCCAAGAGTTTTAAAGGAACCCAAGGATGAAATTATGGAAACCATAGCTAAAATGTGTAGTAACAGTTCATTTCACCTGAATATTGGCAAGCTGTTAATATAATTTCTCTCTATAGCAAAGACTAGTGAAGAGACCAAGGAAACCTGGACACACAACTACCAGATCTCACCTCTATGTTGCTAAGGGTTCAGATCAGCATGTGGTGTTAGAACTTGTCAATTTCACTGCCCCCATTTGAGAAGTTTAAAAATGCCTCCAGGCTCACACCCACCTCACAGGGCCTCCTAAAACATAGGTCATTGTGCTCTGTGCCAGGTGACCCTGCTAGGCTAATCATGACTGACTGGTTCAGAAATGAGGCCTGAGGAAACAGACACCAGGAGAAAGCTAGAGCCTCAGGAAAAACAATGAGGAAATCAGTGAGCACTAGCAGAAGAATTATAGAATCAAACCTCTTCCCAGTTTCTACCGAATATGGATTTATACTTTTTCTACATAGATTACACATATTCACTTATAATTCCTTCATTCAATATAGAAGACACCAGAGAGAGATATGAGAAAGAGAGAGAGAGAATCTGCAAGAAACCCACTTAAGCTTTAAAGACACACATAGGCTGAAAATGAAAAGAAGGAAGAAATTATTCCATGCAAATGGTAACCAAAAGAAAGCAGACATGCCTATACTTCAAGTAAAAAACTGTTGTAAGAGACAAGGTAATTATTTAATGATAAAGGGGCCAATTCACAATGGGGACATAAACATGGTAAATATATATGCACCCAATTTTGGAGTACCCAAATACATAAAGCAAATAAACTTTCCATTCAATGGCATCGAAATACACATTTTTCTCCAGTGCACATGGAATATTCTCTAGGATAGAGCAAATGTTAGGCCACAAGACAAGTCTTAATACATTTAAGAAAACTGAAATCATATTAACGGATATGAAGGGAGAAATAGATAGCAATACAATAATAGCAGGGGACTTCAATACCCAACTTTCTTTTTGTATGCTATATGTGTGTGTGTGTATATATATATATCTTCACATTTTATTCATATAGCTGTATTTTTCTTTAAAATAGACTTTTATTTTAGGTTCAGGGTACATGCATAGGTATAAATGTTACCTATATAACATTTGTGATATAGGTAACCTCATGTCATGAGGGTTTGTTGTACAGATGATTTCATCACTCAAGTATTAAGCCTAGTACCCATTAGTTATTTTTCCTGAACCTCTCCCTCCACCCACCCTCCACCATCAGGTAGGCCATAATGTCTATTGTTTCTCTCTTTTGTGTCCATGTGTTCTCATCATTTAGATCTCTCTTATAAGTGAGAACATGTGGTATTTGGTTTTCTGTTCCTGAGGTAGTTTGTTAAGGATAATGGCCTCCAGCTCCATCCATATTCTCGCAAAGCACATAATCTTGTTCTTTTTTTGTTTTTTACAACTGCATAGTATTCCATGGTGTATATGTGCCAGATTTTCTTTATCCAGTCTGCTCTTGATGGGCATTTAGGTTGATTCCATGTCTTTCCTATTGTGAATAGTGATGCAATGAACATAAGCCTACACATGTCCTTTGGATAGAATGATTTATGTTACTTTGGATATATACCCAGCAATGTGATTCCTGGGTCAAATGGTAGTTCTTTTTCTTTTAGCTCTTTAAGGAATCATCACACTGCTTTCCACAATGGTCGAATTAATTTACATTCCCATCAACAGCATAGAAGTAAGTGTTCCCTTTTCTCTGCAACCTTGCTAGATCTGTTATTTTTTGACTTTTTAATAATCACAATTCTGAGTTGTGTGAGATGGTATATAATTGTGGTTTTGATTTGCATTTCTCTAATGATTAGTGATGCTGAGCATTTTTTCATATGATTGTTGGTCACAGGTATGTCTTCTTTTAGAAGTATCTGTTTATGTTCTTTGCCTACTTTTTAATGGGGTTGTTTGTTTTTATCTTGTAAATTTGTTTAAGTTCCTTATCTTAGAACTTTATCAGATGCATAGTTTGCAAAAATTTTCTCTCATTCTCTAGTTTGCCTGTTTACTCATGATAGTTTCTTTTCCTGTGCAGAAGCTCTTTAGTTTAATTAGATCTCATTTGTCAATTTTGGCTTTCATTGCAATTGCTTTTGGTGTCTTCGTCATGAAATCTTCTCTTATATCCAGAGTGGTATTGCCTATGTTTTCTTCCATGGTTTTTACAATTTTGGGTTTTACATTTAAGTCATTAATCCAACTTGAATTGATTTTTGTATGTGATGTAAGGAAGGGATCCAGTTTCAATCTTCTGAATATGGCCAGTCAGTTATCCTAGCATCATTTATTTAATAGGGAGTCTTTTCTCCATTACTTGTTTTTGTCAGCTTTGTCGAATACTAGATGGTTGTAGGTGTATGGCCTTATTTCTGGGCTCTCTATTCTTTTTTTTTTTTTGAGATGGAGTCTTGCTCTGTCACTCAGGCTGGAGTGCAGTGACACGATCTCGGCTCACTGCAAGCTCCACCTCCCGGGTTCACGCCATCCTCCTGCCTCAGCCTCCAGAGTAGCTGGGACTACAGGCGCCCACCACCACGCCTGGCTGATTTTTTGTACTTTAGTAGAGATGGGGTTTCACCATGGTCTGGATCACCTGACCTCGTGATCCGCCCGCCACGGCCTCCCAAAGTGCTGGGATTACAGGTGTGAGCCACCGCGCCCGGCCTGGGCTCTCTATTCTGTTCCATTGGTCTGTGCATCTGTTTTTGTACCAGTATCCTGCAATTTTGGAAATCTCCCACTTACAACAATTGATAGATTAGCCAGACAGAAAATTAATAAGTAAATATTGGATTTGAATTACATTTTTAACCAAATGGACCCAACAGCTATGCATAGAACTTTCCATCCAACAGCAGCAGAATACACATTTGTCTCCAGTGCACATGGAATATTCTCTAGGATAGAGCATATGTTAGGCCACAAGGCAAGTCTTAATACATTTAACAAGACCAAAAAAGAAGGAGATTTTGCCATTTGTCACAACATGGATGAGCCTGAAGGACATTTTGCTTTATGAAATAGGCCAGACACACACACAAAAATATTTAATAATCTAATTTATATGTGGAATATAAAAAGTAATCCAAATTTACAGAGAAGGAGAACAAAACAGTGGTTAAGGAGAAGGGTAATGGAGAGATGTGTGTCAGAGGATACAAATTAACAGAACTATAGAATAAAATTGTGCTGTATATGAGATTGATGCTAAATGAGTAGATTTTAGCTGCTCTTGCCACACAAAAATAGGTAGCTGTGGTACAACGGATGTTAGTTTTATTCACTATAGTAACCTTTTTAGTATATATGTATCCCATAGCATCATGTTGTATACCCCAAATGTACACAATACTTTTTATTTTTAAAGAGAGAGAAAGATCTTTGTCTTGCTCATATCCCTTCTAAATGTAAATATTGTCTTATTTATCTCTTTTGTCCCCCTAAATCCTCCTCTTTTTCAGAACCAGTCCAGCTCCACTTTTCAATGAGGTTTGGGACAATGGATCCCACTTTTTGATATATAAAAATCATCTCAAATTTGACTTGTCCCAAACTATCTCCTAATCCCTCTCCCCCAAGAAAGTGTTTCTTCCGTGGTCTTTCCACCTAGGTTGATGGCAACTTCATTTTATTTTTCCATGCCCCAAATCTTGAAGATCAACCTTGGTGGTTCTCTTCTTCTTACATCCCATATCCAATAAATCATTAGCTCTTTCTTCAAAATATATCCAGGATAAAGCTATGCTATATTTGGAATGTTTATGTCCCTCACAAATTCTTATGTTGAAATGTTAACCATCAAGGTGATGACATTAGGAGGTGGAGCCTTTGGGAAGTAATTAGGCCATGAGTGGAGTTCTTATGAATGAGATGAGTGCCCTTATAAATGAGACCTGAGAGAGATGCCTTGTCCCTTCTGCCACGTGAGGTTGTATCCAAAAGACGGCTGTCTAGGAAATGAGCCCTCACCTGACACTGAATCTATCAATGCCGTGAACTTGGAGTTCGCAGTCTCCACAACTGTGAAAATAAGTTTCTGTTATTTATAAGCTACCTAGTTTGTAGTATTTTTATTATAGCAGCCCGAACAGACTAAGACAAGCTACTTCTCACCACCTCCACTCCCATCATCCTGATCAAGGCCTCCATAACCGCTTACCTGGAATATTGCAATAACTTCCTAACTGGTGTCCCTCCTTTTGCCCTTGCTCACTTCAGCAGTCAATGTGGCCCAGTTGAAATGTGAGACAGAGTTGTCAGATCCTGTCACTTTTCTGCTCAGTACTATCCAGTCATTTCCTAGTCAGACAAAAGTTGAAGTCCTAAAAACTGTCTATGAGGCTGTGCACTATTTACTCCTCATCTCCACCATTTATCTTTCTTATGTTAATCCATTCTCTCTTCCTTGATTCTTTTCTGTAGCCACACTGATTTTTTTTTTTTTCTATTCTGTGTATGTGCCAGTCATGTTGTCTCTATCAGGGACTTTGTTTCACTCCAGGATTAAGTCCTTTGGGTCCTTTTCTAAGCCCCTCCTTCAAAAGTCCTTTCCCATCACTCCATCTGACAATGCAATATACGCTCATCCTCCTACCCCTGTGCTCTGTATCCCCCTTACCTACTGCATTCTTTTTATCTGTAGCACTTTTACTCTGTATTTTACTCAGTATCTCTAAGTAGTGGAATCATGAGCGACTTAAATTTTTTATAATTTCTGCATTTTTTCAGTATTGAACAGTGAGCATATTCAGAGGAAGGAGGAATATTGTGGGCTGATGGAGCCAAGAAAGGCCTAGCAGAAGAGGACTGAATTTGCATCCCACAAGGTTGGTAGGCTGGCTAGAAGAGGAGAGACAGCATTCTAGGTCTTAATAAAACATGCACAGAAGGAAGAGGGTACCATGTGCATGGCATGTTTCAGAGGCAGAGAGGAAAGCAGCCAGGCTAGTCTTTTCCTTTATCACCAAAATGTGGAATGTGCAACTGGGAGCAGATAATACAGGGCCCAGGAGTGTGATTTTAGTCAGGTGTGTTTTTTTCTAATGGAAGACATCAGTGGCAGAATTATTCTACTAAATTCTTCTAGTCTTTTATTTTTGTCATTTCCAAGTAATCCTTAGTGTCCTAGGATTTGTGCACATCTTTCAGCACTTTAATGTTCCTAATGACACTCATTTTATGTTATAGTGGAAAAATTTAAGTTTCAATAAGTGCCATAATTATGTCTCTACCAAGATATAATTTTCTAGCCATTCCCAATGGATCTTTTTCTTCCAATATTTTTAAATGGAAAGAGGAAAAATTAATTCAAGAATTATCAATCTGGAAATCAAACTTGCACACTTAGAAATACAAAGAATAAAATCAGGTGCAGTGGCTCACACCTGTAATCCCTGCATTTTGGGAGGCCAAGGCAGGAGATTATGTGAGGCCAGGAGTTCAAGATCAGCTTGGACAATCTAGTAAGTCCCCATTTCTACACCCCCCCAACACACACACACACACACACACACACACACACACACACACACACACACAGCTGGGCATAATGGTACATGCCTGTAGTCCAGTCTATTCCGGAGGCTGAGGCAGGAGGATCACTTGAACCCAGGAGTTCTAGGTTTCAGTGAGCCATTATTGTGCCACTGCACTCCAGCCTAGGTGACAGAGCAACATCCTGTCTCAAAAACAAACAAACAAACAAACAACAACAAGAAAATACAAAGAATATTCACATTTTTGTTTTGTTTTGTTAAGGTGAAAGAGTGTCAAAGGATTTCGATTATAAATGGTTTTTTATATTTCTTTTTCTCAGTCTCATCTCTATCACTTATGTAACTGTGTATAGGAGATACCATCTTGAGAAAAAATTCATCATCCTGTATGAATGTGTCTCTCCAATGTGTGGAACATGGCTATGATTTCAGCATTTGGCTGTCAGTGAAGGGCAACTCAGCACTTAATATTGAAAGGAAGGAAGCTGAGACATAAATACCTAATGTTCTTACTTAAAATCTGCCCTACCCACACAGAGCTGAGACCTTTCCTGGAAAGGGAAACCAGGCATGATATAAAGCATGTTTAACAGTGTTCAGTTTGTGTCAGTGGGCAAATAGTGTGGTTGGAGAAAACACTATTTTGCACAATTTACATGGTAGAATGTACAAAGCATTTTCAAAGTCAGATTTGCAAGTTATTGGGTATATAGTTGTAGGCTTAGAAAAACAGGATGCTAGCACAAATCCAAACAATACAGAATAAGACTAAGTGAGGTAGGGCTTGCGGGTCTTTTTTCTCTTATTGAAGGGTCAACCTATTCATAATGTTTCTAATGATTTTCTGTAAGTACCTTCATACAGACAGCTAAGCAATTTTCTAATTCAAGATGTATACTTCTGCCCTTTGGATTTCTGGAATAGAATATCAACTAAATGTGAATTTAATGGACTAATTTGCATTTCTGGGAGATTCTTTTTTAATATAACAGAGAACAGAAACATGGGTATTATAAGCCAAGCACTTTAATGTAAGGTGATGGAGTCACAAATTAAAAGTAAAACATTCAGTGGAAATATAAACAAACAAACAAATAAAGAAAACAAGAAAAAAGCAACTTATAGGAATAATTGTTTTATAATATTTATTTTTTAATAGTCTGGAATTGTGTGTGTATATGAGTGGTGGGTGAAATTGAAGAGTCGAACAGGGGCTGACCTCATAGTCAGGTCCAATAAGTCAGAGAAATAACCAGGTACAATTTGGTACTTATAGTTTCTCTGACTCATTCTGCAATAACAGGAAAAACTACCACTGGAAGTGGCAATGACATCAGTAAGATTTATTACTCTAGATTTATCAGTTTCTACTTTGGAGAATACACAGTAGAATTTTTGTTACCTACTTTCTGTCCCCTCCTTCCTCTCCAGGCCCTCATCCTTTACTATAACCCCCTAACTACCTCTTTCAACTGAATTTCCATCCATTCAAATTATATTCTCCATTTCCACTTTATTCTAGTTTGTAATTCCTCAACTCTCTTGAGCCTGCTTCCTCACTTTAATTTAGCAATCTTACTTTAGACTGTACCCTCAACTTGGACTGATAGTTAGATTCTAATTGCAATGTTTCTGATTCTGCCAAATCTTGCCTCCTGACATAGTTTTTTAAGAGTTGGCAATCTGCCCCTGAGTTGCACCAAGCGTGGCATGACCCTGACATAGTTTGTCAGCAGCAGTTGCCTGTGTTAACTGCCTGACAGAAACTTCATTATTCTCAATAGAGAATACTCAATAGGTAATGACGGTCACCAACAGTCCATACACAATGAAGAAACGTGACACACAGGTTTAATTTCTCCAGAAAACAGTTGCAAGAATATGCTTTTAAGTGTGTTGGTCAATATTTTGAAATACAGATCACATTAACTTTTGCTAGTGTTTCTCATTACCTTATGGTCATTTCCGCATTTGGGTAGCTAGACTCTGGCAATGATTGCCTTAAGACACAGGTAGTACTGTGGGAAGAAAAGAGTCAATTTTTTATTTTGAGTTTCAGAATATGTTTTTTGTGTTTTGTGGCTCATGGCACATTACGTGTTTTTTGGCTCATGGCAGAAATAAATATTTGAATTTTAAAAGCCTAAGCTATCTACTGAAAATGATAGCGAGCCAGGCTCACAATCTTCATTAAATAAAGACTCTTTGGACTGGGGAAGGGACAAGAAAGTAAAAGAAAATATTTAATCTGAGAGGATCCACAAACCCCTGTCTCCTCCACACTTCTCATCAGTATCTTCTTTGGGGAGATAAAAACCCTAGAGAAGTTTGGACACCTGAGACCAGAAAGGTTCCATAGCTTCCTTACTTGGGCGGAACTTACTAACCAAATACAACCAACAGTGCTCTAGTAGGATGACTGTATCATTTAATCATTAAAACGAGGGCATTTTCCAGCACTTTGGGAGGCCGAGACGGGCGGATCATGAGGTCAGGAGATCAAGACCATCCTGGCTAACACAGTGAAACCCCGTCTCTACTAAAAATACAAAAAATTAGCCGGGTGTGGTAGCGGGCGCCTGTAGTCCCAGCTACTAGGGAGGCTGAGGCAGGAGAATGGCATGAACCCGGGAGGCGGAGCTTGCAGTGAGCCAAGATCGTGCCACTGCACTCCGGCCTGGGCAACAGAGCGAGACTGCATCTCAAAACAAACAAACAAAACAAAACAAACAAACAAACAAACAAACAAAAAACACAAGGGCATTTTGAGGGTGAAAATGGTCTGAGCAAGTGTTAAATCTGATGAAATGTCTGGACAATAGATGTCAATCAGGACCATCCCTGGTAAACCAGGATTTACAGTAACCCACTAATGCAATGAGATAGCATAAGAATTGTTTTTGATGTAGACAGAAAGTAGAATAATGGTCACCAAGCGCTTGGAGAAGGAGGTAATGGGGAGTTATTGTTTAATGGATAGAGTTTTAATTTGGAATGATGACAAAATTCTGCAGTTGGATGGTGGTGATGGTTGTACAACAATGTGAATGTACTTAATGCCACTAAATTATACACTTAAACATGATTAAAATAGTAAGTTTTATGTTATATATAATTAACCACATAAAAAAGTTATTTTCAAAAACGTATTGTTTATAATGGGTTGGTAGATTGATGGACCTGAGGAAGCCATGCAGTTTTTTCCTTGCAGTTCAGAGAGTGAAGAATGTTTTCACACAGCTGAGAATGTTGCAGATTTGCCACTGAGAGCTGGGGAACCTTGAGAAGGGTTGAGGAGGAGGCCCTAGGAGAGACACAAGTTAAGGGCAAACACCCTGATGGGAACAAGGTAATCTCAGATGCAGCAGAGGTGGATTAGAAGGAGTAGACGCCTCTTCTCAAAGGCCTTCACACTACGTAGTAAGCTTCTCAAATCTTAGATTCAGTCTCCTAGGAAAAAAGAGATAGGCTGACCTTGAACTTACAAAGATTCACTTTCTTTTATCTGGGGCTTCAAAGCATAGCTTAAGTTTATTTACAGAAAAAATAAATTGAAAATATAATATGTACTTAACATTCTGAGTTTCATAATTATTATGAATAGCATTTCCTTTCTGATAGCTGTAGACCAAACAAAGGCATAAAGATATTTTTGTATTATGGATCTCCTAATCAGATAATGTATTTTCGGTTTAATACATTATGGCTTAGAATAACATTTGCTTAATATTTAAAGTACTATTTAAAATATTTGTATTTAAATATGTAAAATTATTATATTTTCTTAATTTTTTTTAGAGACAGGGTTTGCTCTGTTGCCTAGGCTGGAGTGCAGTGGCACAATCATAGCTCACTGCAGCCTTGAACTCCTGGGCTCAAGCGATTCTCCTACCTCAGCCTCCTGAGTAGCTGGGACTACAGAAGCACATTATCACACTTGGTTATTTGATGTGTGTGTGTGTGAGTGTGTGTGTGTGTGTGTGTGTGTGTGTGTAGATGGGGGTTTTGCTATGTTACCCAGGATGGTCTTGAACTCCTAGTCTCAAGCAATCCTCCCATCTTGGCATCCCAAAATGCTGGGATTACAGGCATGAGCCACTACACCTGGCCTATATTTTCTTTAATGTGCTATTTTGGAAAGTACTTTGATTTATTGTTTATAGTTCTTACTATTTAATGCAGCCAAACATTTTGTTTTCCTAAATGAACACATTTCAAAATACACCATGGTCATCAATAAGAAAATATGGTTTAATTTACATGTTACTTTTCTGAATTATTTCCAGAAATGCCTCTACTGTATAAAGTACAGTAAGGAAGCAGTGGACAACTGAGAATCTAACAGGTGCAGTGGTTCTGGTTAATGTTTTAGGCCAGCAGGAGGTAGATGGAAAACCCAACCATTTTGTTCATGCTGGATTGCAACCAGGATTTCCCTACTATTCCTTCACTCTGATGAGAATGTTAGTTTCTTGAATATTTCCTCCTGTCTGCTAACTTATTTGCTGAAAGGTATATTTAAAAGGAAGTTTTTAAATATGCATTTTAGGTTGGTTTGTTTAACCATGTTAATACAATAAAATGAAATAAAGCATTTCAAGCCATTTTTTAAATGCCACATTTGTAACACGTTACCCTTAGGGCTGGGTTGTATAAATGCAGCTTGGGCTCTCTCTCTTTTTTTTCTTTCTTTCTTTCTTTTTTTTTCGAGACGAAGTCTCGCTCTGTCACCCAGGCTGGAGTGCAGTGGCATGATCTCAGCTCACTGCAACCTCCACCTCCCAGGTTCAAGTGATTCTCCTGTCTCAGCCTCCCTAGTAGCTGGGATTACAGGTGTGTACCATCACGCCCAGCTAATTTTTTGTATTTTAGTAGAGACAGGGTTTCACCATGTTGCCCAGGCTGGTCTCGAACTCCTGAGCTCAAGCAATCCACCCACCTCAGCCTCCCAAAGTGCTAGGATTACAGGCGTGAGCCACCGTGCCCAGCCTAGCTTGGGCTCTCTTGAAAGGACTTTGTAGATAGAGAAGACTATATGTCTATCTTTATGGTGCTATGAAATGGATGTTAGAAAAGAGATTTCAACATTTTTAGCCTTTGTTTTACTTTGTTTTATACTTTTTGACCTCTCTCCCTAGCAAACAGAATCAAATTCTTTTTGTATTAGAATCTTCCTTTTCTACTACTTGCACACACATTGCCATACAGTATTTAAATTAACTCTCACCCATTTGAAATTTGGCTCCTTGATCAGGAAAACATGACTTATTTGCTATTTTAATGAAAGATTATGCAACCTAAAATCTGCATTGTTAAATTGTAGCCTACCTTTGAACCATTGGTCCAAAACTAATGCATGGCCTACCTTGGATTCTAAGGCAATTTTTCAGTCTGGCCTTACTTTTCACATTAAACATAGCATGTTATGCATATTTTCTTGTTTTTCAGGAAGACTGAGCAGGATTATGCCAAACCATGCTATTTAACAGTGTACACTCCATGCTCCAGAAGCAAAAATAATTTTAGAATAAAAGCCTTAAATGCTTTCTTTAAAATGGGATAGAGAATATTCTCCACATTATTCAGCTCTTTCTTTTGGTTAGGGAGAATAATGAGCTATAAGGGCATTTTTTGTTGTCCACCCCATTTTTCTTTCCTCTTTCTTACAGTTCTGTGATTTCCCTTCTTGTGTCTACACATTCCCCAAGACAGTATATGTGAATCCATTCTGAACACTAGGGATGGACTTGCTTCATTTAATGTTAACGCTAATCTTAGGCACTTTAGAAACAGAGATTACTTTAGGAACCCAGGACTAAGCAAATTGTTGATGACATGCCACTAGAAACAGCATTTAATTTACAAACGGACATATGACCAAATTCAGGTCAATGAGAAAAAGTGAACTAGGGACTTTTTGAGGGAAAATGCAATGGACTGAAGAGAATATCCTTGGGCAAGACACCCTTTGTGCCCCTGGAAACAAAGATGAATGCTGGTCAGAGCTAGAACTTCCACTGTCATCAGTAACCCCAAGGATGAACCAAATCAAGAGGATAGTACAGCCAAGTATCACAGAGAAATTGGACATAGACTTTTGGATTATGGTAAACCTGAGCAACCCTACTTGTGGACTTTGAGTTAAATGGTCCAGTACATTATTTCCTTAGTGTTTGAGTAACTTTGCATTAGGTCTTCTGTTATTTATAGCTTACAAGTATGTAACGGATACTCTGCTAATAGGAGAACTTCTGGATGGAAGAAGCTGCTGTTTAATAGCTTACCCCTAATACTACTAAATTAGGGAAGAGTAGCTTAAAACCATGTTCAAAACATGATCTCAGCTTAACCCATTACATTCTCATTAGTGGGGTAGTAAATAGGCATTGAACTGTGTTACCATTATAAAATGAAGAAACTATACATCTCCAACCTTCCATGATCTCTATGGAAGTCTTTTATAAAACTTTGATTTAGAGTCCCAAGTTAGGAAAGTATGTATTAACTCTACTCATACCTCTGTCAATAGTATATATGTGTTGAAAAAATACATTTACTAATCTTATGCAGCATTTTGCAAATAATTCTGTGACTGTTCTGTCGAACCCACATGCTAGACTTACACATCTGGCATCTCACTTTATTTTGGGATAGTAACAACTTCCTAACAAAGTGTTGCTTCTTGCAGAGAAGGGTGCTAACCCTTCAACCTAACTGCGTTATTCAATAGGAGAAAATATTTATCTGCATATTTTTTCTTAGGTATGAATTTTGCATTTCTCTTCCCTATGAATATATTCTTTCTAGGAGACCATGATATTCTGAGCCTATCATAGCGATGTAAGGGGTTGTTACTTAAAAGATGTGTGGTTCCAATTTAATTTATGTGGCCTGGAAAACAGAGGATTTGCATTCAAACTAAAATTTGCCCTTGGGGTGGTCTTTAGAGGTACTGTGAATATATTAGAGATTGCCATTTAACTTCACATTTTCAAGTTAATTGTGTGCAATTAAAATGCTCCTGTTCAATAAAAGGTTTATCAAAAAGCTGTGTCTTTCATGAAGCTGGGAAATAGTACATGTACATCAAGTTAGAGACATAACATGGCTGCTGTTATCAACACATGATTAAATTTCACACACACACAATTGACAAAACTTCTGTCATTCTTTTCGTTTTGGACAATGTATCTTTTTATTTCATAGTCTTTATTTTATTTCTTATATGTTATTTACTTACTTTCACAGCAATTTCTGTCCTGTAGAGACTTACATTTGGGTTCTTTGAAAGAATTAAGCAAACTATGTCAATATAGCAAGCTTAGCAACTCCTTTTCAACTGTGCTTTATTTCCTTTACAGAAATGAGTTTGCTTGTTTTTGTTTTCAATTTAATAAAATGAAATATTAACATGTCAGATTTGTAAGGGATCTTCAATGTCAGTGAGTTCTGTTCTTCACCTCATGTGTAAATTCTCCTTAAAACAAACTCCAAGCCAACAGAAAAGATTTGGAATTTCAACCCTGCTACTTAGTGGCTATCAGTTGGACACACGTGGCTTATTGAAATACAGTTTTCTCATCTATAAAATGTCAGTAATAACATTGACCTCAGATTTGATGTGATAATTATTTGCTTCACAATCCTTTTTACCTATATGTAATTAGCAAATTTGATGAGTGTTTGTTTTATATATTTATGTAAGCAATAAAGCTGATAAAAAGATTTTTGAAAGAAAAAATTGTGGAACACATAACTAAATCCTTTTCTCCAGTTTTTTATTTACTTGTTTGAGATGCTGATCATTTTCTTAATAATTTATTTCTATTTCTTCCATTTATAATGCAAGGATTTATGTAGAAAATGTAGAAAACACAGGCGAGGATAGTGAAGAAAATTTAAATTACAACCAGTTGAAACCTAGGGCAGCTAATATAGATAGATAATTTCCCCACTCTTGGAAAACAAAAAGCCCCCAGTTATTTATTGTATCTGACAAATAAGAGACTAATCATGATAAATTAATGAGTGTGTCTATTATAGTCTAATAATCAGAAATTATGCATTAGTTTGCAGGTGGTTCAAGGCAAATGGGAAGAAAAAGGAGCTGGTTGGTTCCTACGCTGTTCCTCTCTCTAGACATATTATTGTAGGCTTATTGTAGGCTGAGTTAGAAAACAGTGCTCTGCCTGAGCTCCCAACCTCAAGCTTACCACATGGGTGCTTTGATGCCCACCCTCTCTTCCACCATGGCATCAGGGAGGCAGAAGGCCACAGCCATTGAAAATATCCTTTTTTAAAAATTTTATTATTATTATACTTTAAGTTTTAGGGTACATGTGCACAACATGCAGGTTTGTTACATATGTATACATGTGCCATGTTGGTGTGCTGCACCCATTAACTCGTGTTTAGCATGTATCTCCTAATGCTATCCCTCCCCCCTTCCCCCCACCCCACAACAGTCCCTGGTGTGTGATGTTCCTCTTCCTGTGTCCATGTGTTCTCATTGTTCAATTCCCACCTATGAGTGAGAACATGCAGTGTTTCGTTTTTTGTCCTTGCGATAGTTTGCTGAGAATGATGGTTTCCAGTTTCATCCATGTCCCTACAAAGGACATGAATTCATCATTTTTTATGGCTGCATAGTATTCCATGGTGTATATGTGCCACATTTTCTTAATCCAGTCTATCGTTGTTGGACATTTGGGTTGGTTCCAAGTCTTTGCTATTGTGAATAGTGCCGCTATAAACATACGTGTGCCAAGCTTCATTTCTGCTCACAGACTTCCTAACCTATTTTATAGGTATGGGTTATAAAAGCAATTCTCCCATTCCTCTTTTGTCAATCCCACTTGGGTGGCCCAGCCCCTCTCTGTGTATTGAGGGAATGGTTGGTACCTGCTGCCTTTGAGATTCCATGAAAACTGACACAAGAGTCTTGTCTTTACATCCAGTTATAATCGCTCCCTTAGGATACATTATATGAAGTGGATTTCTGCATCTAGGAATGTGACCATTTTAAAACTCTTGACACATGCTAGTAAAGTTCTACTTCCCCAAATAAAAATATTATACCAATTCACACTTTCATCCTTACTACATAATACTGAGAAAAGAAAAATAGGGTAAAGGAGGAGAACAGGACAAGAAGGAAAAAGCAGGGGCCTGAACCTGAGAAGAGAGGAATGGTATAGAGAAATGGGAAGAAGTGCATGCAGGAGATGGGGTAAAATCTCCTGTAACTCAGGTAAATCCATGTCAAGTCAAACTCTAGCATAAATAAATATGATTAATCTCTGCCAAATTATTTCAATGGGCAGTATATTTAATAGCTAGTTATTTCCTGGGTCTAGCCTAGAAAGAGTTATTGAGAGGTAGATTTACATAATCATCCTGGAACTCTTTCCATAGCAAAATGTAGAAAAATTGCAAAATATAGCAGTATTAATTCAGGCCATAACAGTATCTGCAAAGGCAGCACGGTGTGGTAGAAAGAAGATGCATTCTGTCTCCAGATTCTGCAACTTACTAGCTGGTTGATCCTGAGATAGTTGCTCAATGCTAATGGGTCTTAAGCTTCTCAACCCTAGAATTTGAATAATAGTGTCTTTCTTGCTCAGCCCATGTGGTAATTATGAGATGAGATAGGATGAGTTTTGGAATTTGTGAACTGTAAAAATCTTACAACAATCAGATATGTTGCCTTGTCAATGACTTATCAGCACCAAGGCATACTTGGAAGTTTCTAATTGATATTTTTTTAATCTATTTTTTGTCTTGTTGACAGTATCCATGCCATTGTTTTGCCACAAGTGAGATTGTGTATGTCAAGTGTACCTTTCATTTTTCTGGGTGCTTAGAAGCTACTCAGTAAATATTAGTTCTTCGTTTCCTCTCTCCTCCCAGTTCCCCAACTATTTGCTTTTTGGAAATATCTGCTTATTTTACAACCATATTGTCATGACTCATTCTTTTCAAGTAGACAACAGAAAGTATGTGTATGCAGGGAACCTAATGCTCCACATTCTCATATTTATTGCGTTTGATATTATTTGCATGGAAAGCATTTCCTTCCCAGCCTAATTTGGTGAAAATGATGTCAACTGTTTCCCTATTGTTCATCTGAAATCAGCTCCTAGATTTAATGAATTACATATCTTGGCTTTATTTTCTCATTTAATTTAATTTTATTGATGTAAAAACAATAGGAATAACAAAATGCTTCCAGTGTCAATGGTAATTAAAAAAACAAACAGAAAGTTAATAAAATGCATTATTACTTTGGCTAGATCCTTCCTTCTTTATTCGCTTCAGAAAAAACAATCCAATCTTGAGAGAAAATGTAGAATGTGGTTTTGCGCCAGCAGTAATTAGCAGGAACAGCTTGACGAGAAACAGTGATGGAAGAATCAATGACATCAATAAAATAAAACCCAAATAAGGTTTCTGTTTTTCATACTAGGTCTTTACATATCAACTTAACCAAATGATTGAGAAATGACATTCTTAATCCCAAACAGTGTGCCATAAATATATTGTAAACCATTTTGAACTTTTGAAACTATGTCAAGCTTTTCCAGTCTCCTAAGAGAGTATACAACATGGTTTTATAACCAATAATGCCTTCCCATTAAACACTACAGTTGCTTTATCAAATAGAATTTTTAAATGAGGTTTAAAAATTGCAGAAAACCAGGATTAAGTGAAACATTAAAAATGTTACTGATGTTCCACACTCAGATCTTGATTGTAGGCATAATCATGAGAAGGGTAATATTTTTAAATTTTTAATTGGTTTGCTTTAATTTATCAAACTTTCATTTGGCTCGATCTCAATTTCTTCTCTTCCCTCTCTCATGACCATAAATCAAAAGATCCAGGATTTTTTTCCATCAGAATTTGCTGATGCTTTACGTATTGTTAAAAACAAACCCTTCTCGGTGAAACATGGGAACAACATGCCCCACACTTAGACCAGGGTTTTTCCACTTTAGCACTATGGATAGTCCAGATTTGATAACTCTTGGTCGTGGGGAACTCTCTTATGCATTGTATTGAGTTCAGCAGCATTCCTCGGCCTCCCCCCACTAGATTTCAGTAGAACTTCCGAGTTCTGCTTATCAAAAATATATATAGACACTGCCAAATATCTTCCTGGGGGCAAAAAGCACAATTGGTTGAGAATCACTTTCTTAGACTGAGACTTCTATATTTCAGATGAAATACATATAACTAACTTGATACACTAATGTGGCCAAAAAGAAGGAAGTCTAGCAGAGATAGGAAATCAAACCACAGTAGACTATAGTGGTTCTCAATCATGACATGCATTAAAAATACCCGTGAGATTTAAAAATACTGATACACAGACCAATCCCATATTAGTTGACTGATGATCCTTGGATATAAGGACCAAGAATCACTGCCAAATTTACTAAAGTAGGTTACTCTGTGAATTTGATATACTACCTTTAGGGGCAAACACACAAGTTCTCCTTTTTGCAGTGTTACCCATCTTTTAATTTCTGTCGTTTCAGAGTCTGGAGTTGCTTCTGTTGGCCATCAATTTCCTGTGGTGCAGAGGGGCTACAAATATAATACAGATTAAACTCCCTGCAGGAAGTCTCTTATGGATAAGAACAAGTTCAGGTAAAGACAACACAATTCCTTTCACTTGCAACCACTTTCCAGTGTGGAGCCTAGAACTGTAGTTCTCACAGTGAGATTTCTGAGAATCACCAGCACAACCTAGGAACTTGTTAGAAATGCAAAACTTCTGACTACTCTAGAACTACTGAATTAAAATCCCTTGGGGTGTGGCCTAGCAATGTGTGTCTTAGTAAGATGATTCTGAAGTATACTAAAATTTGAGAACCATGAGCTAGAGACATTCTCTGTATTCACTTATGTGTTTTCAGTGTTCTTCCACCTGAAACCACACTTCACAAGACTTAAATCACTGACATACACTTTCATTGACTCTTTTAAATACTGCTGCTTAGGATTCCATTTTCTCAGAGATGTTTGTTGTGGAGTCTATGACATATTTATGCAGGTTATAGTCCTCAGAAAAGGAGAACTGGAGGTAAAGGAGAGGTCGAGGGAAGCAGAGAGCACTAGACACAGACCTGGCCCAAGTGAATGAGCACAGAAAATCTCCAAACTTGCTGCACTATGGGGCCATTCAGATCCCCTACAACAGCTTGGTTTGACTTCCACGGGTAATAATTAGCAGCTAGTGGGCCAGAAGAAAATGACATAATGATAGTTATTGAGAAGAGGAGGCCACATGCAGAAAAAGGAGAACTTGATTTTAGGCAGAGCCACTGAGGATTGAGGAAGGAGAGAAACAAACGCACCTCGTACCTTTCCATATTACCTTTATTGTAAGTGAATTACATTCTCGCATTCTACACCATTACATTCAGTAGTTTTACTGTTACAGGTCAATAATGGAGTTTGGCTTCTATATTACCAAGCGTTACTTGCTAGTTGGTATAATTATCCCTTGGTGGACAAGATTGGGAAACTTACTTTCTAGTGGAAAGTATCAATATAATTTTTATGTGGATACTAGGCTATAGAGGGGCAGTGGTAGAAAATGGGTTTTAATTAGAGGATATTGAAGGAGTCTAGGAGAAAGATTCTGTTGCAGCAGTCCAGGAGAGTAACGGGAGAAAGTGTGATAAAAACGTAATGTTAGCTTTGAGATCTAGTTTTCTTTTCTTTTTTTCTTTTTTAGAGACAGGATCTCATTTTGTTGCCCAGGCTGGAGGGCAGTGACACAATCATAGTTAATTGTAGCCTCAAACTCCTGGGCACAAGCAATCCCCCTGCTTCAGCCTCCAGAGTAGTTGGAACTACAGGCATGTGCCACCATGCCCGGTTAATTTTTTTATTTTTTTTGTAGAGATGGGCTCTTGCTGTGTTGTCCAGGTTGGTCTCAAACTCCTGGCCCAAGTAAGTTGTCCTTCCATCTCAGCCTCCTGAAGTGTTGGGATTACAGGTGTGAGCCACCTTGCCCAACCATAATTGATTTCATTACAAGAGAGGAATCAAGAATGACTCTTGGGTTTTGCTTAATCACCTAGGTGGATGTAAAATAACTGAAACTGAGAAATTTAGTAAGAAAGAGTATTGAAAAGGTTGAGGAATCAAGTTGTTTTGACCATATGAATTCTAAGATTCTTATTATGAAAACAAATAAAGATACTAAGAAAGCAGAATAATAAACAAGTCTAGAGTACAGGAAAAGGGGATCAGCTTTGAAATTTAAATTTGGGAATCCTTTGCATGTAGATTCATAAAGCCCTGAGAATGGATAAAATCATCCCAATGAAAAGAGAGAAGAAAATAGAAGAGATCCCTGAAGTCTGGGGTTTTTCAACTTGGTATTTCTTTAGGCTCAGTAGCCTGTTATTTTTATCATGCTGAATTCTAATTTCCTTGGATTTAATGTTACACTTTATGATGGTCATATATAAGACTTTTTTGTTTTCTTTCTCATAATTTTTAACTGAGCAATTAAATTAAAGCAGCCCACTGACAATAGCTTCTCTGTTACCATTATGGTATTGCAGCTTCCCATTGGGGATGACAGAGCTGGTGCTCAGGTCATCAACATCCTGCTGAACCTATGAGAAAGCATTTGGGACAACTTGACAATGCATGGTGAGTCAGAAAGTTTGCTTTTTGATTCAACTATTTAAAATTCCCTATTATTTTCTTTGTTTTTGGCTGCCTTTTGCTTAATTGTCTTGTCAGCTGTCCTAAGCCTGACAGCCATATGAGGTCAAGCAGAAAAACTGAACTGGGGAAATAATCATAGTTCTTCAATGGATTGTTTCTGAAAACTGAATATGAGGAGAGAATATTCATAGGTATGGCATAACTTCCATTTTGTAGCTGGAAGAAATCATACCCCCAAATTATGACAATTTATAGAATTATGAGTTGAATGTTTGTGTAAGTATATGCCTTCATATTTTTAAACATGTATAGGCTGCATTATTTTCTGCCAATAAATTTTATGGCTTTTATATCAAGTAAAGATATGTTGCTAATATGATCCCTGCAGTTGATAGATAATATAACTTTTTGTGGGCTAGACTAACCATGTGGCTTCCCAGTTGGGCTGTAAAGGAATCAACAGCTAGTTTAGAGTTACTGGGGGCAGCATTTGGAAGATTTAACTTGTCCAGTTTGGGCCACTTATTAATATTACATATTGCTTATCTATCTTTTGCAATTCTTTGGGGTCCCTTCCGTAGACGTGGTGCTCAAGGAAGCTTTGATGGAAGGCTTTCTGTAGACAATTCACTTGGTTCTGACAGGCCAAGAAAGCCTGTCTGGAGCCAAGATAAACCCAAGGCTCATTTCTGCATTTATTTATTAATACAGCAAATATGGTTATTTTTTGGAGATTGTCAGAAAATCAGTTCTACATACTAGATGTGAACTTGCACTCTGATACTAGTTCTGTGTTCATTTGTATTTTCTTTTATTTCTTGGTAAAAGCTCAGAAAACAACTGGATAGAAATGTGATCTTTTGGCATCTTTGAATTCACTCTTACTGAGATATCAGTTTTCCCGTCAAAGGAAAAATTAAGAAAATGAAAACCTATGATTCTGTAATATTGACTTTCTATTGAACTAACAAGTAAATTAGAAAACAGGAAATGAAAGAGATCATGTCTAGCTTAGGGAGGCATCTATCGAAGGCTCAATGTGAAACCCATTTTGCTCTGAGCATATCTAAATGGGTACTACAAGAAATATAAATATTAGCTAGATTGCTGGTATCTTGGTTTCCTTCCATGTAGAATTCTATATAGAATTTCTATCCATTTGATGTAGATGCTGGTTTTTAGAGAGCTGCAGGGGTAAGAGAAGGTAATGTAGATGTTCTCACTTTGTTAACATAAAATTACATAAACCCACACTCACTTGAACTTCTCATAGCACAGTGATTAATTCATCATTTACTGGTTACTCACCGTTTTCTAGCACTGTGCTGTGTTCTGGGTATGAAATTCGAGAGATACGGGCATCCTTTTTAAGGAACACAAAGTTTCTAGCCTTGCTCTAAGATTAAATCTGACTAGATCAATAGAACTCTAGCTCTTGTATTTTCTTGAGTTTTAGAGACTGGAGCTACCAAATTTTGATGGTTAATTTTGTTTGTCGAATTGACTGGGAGATGGGATGCCCAGCTATTTGACTACACATTATTCTGAGTATGTCTGTGAGGGTGTTTCTGGATGAGATTAACATATGATTTGGTAGAATGAGTAAAGCAGATTGTCTCCCATAATGTGAATGGGCATTGTCCAATCCTTTGGAGGCCCAAATAGAACAAAATGTGGGATAAGGGAGAATTTACTCTCTCTACCTGCTTTAGAGATGGAACATTGTTCTCCTGCACTTAACCTGGAACTACACTACTGGCTCCCTGGACTTCCAACTTTCAGACAGCAGATCATGAGACTTCTCAGCCTCCACAATCATGTGTGTCAGTTCCTTATAAATCTTATTTATACACATGTGTGTGCATGTGTATGTGTGTGCATGTGTGTGTGTGTGTATGTGTCTTATTGGTTCTGTTTCAATGGAAAACCCTGACTAATATACCAAAGAATTCCAGGAGAAGATGTACAGAAACAAAGTGTGTCAAAATCCCAGAGGGTTACCCTATAGAAATCTAAGGGACTACTTCTTGTAAAATGTATTAGATACTTCATTACTACTAACTCTGAAAACAACAGTCTGGGTTTACCTTTGAGAATGTGCCTTTGAAAATAAAGTTACAAATATCTAAAACTAAAGTTAAAAAGTGTAGATCAGACAAGCTAAGAATAGGTCTATCTACCACCCAGAAAAACACATGCAAGTTTGCCATACAGTCAAAACTGAATTTTTGATTTATGGGAAGGGGACACAAAACATTTGGAAGGGCCTTTGCCCAATTTGCAATGAGAAAGAAACCAGAACTCTACATCCACGCAGCAAAGAATGGAGCTGGGACACCAATAGCCATTTTTCTTAGCTTCTGACATAAAACCTTTAATTTTTTTATATACCTGGCTATAGTGAGCCAGGGTCAGTCAAAGGTCACTGACAAAGCAGATGCCCAGATTTCCATTTAGTTACACAAAAAAGTAGCTTCTTGATTAAATTTCATGTAATATGCAGCCTACAACACAAAACCCATAAAAGGATCAAGTGAAAAAAAACCCAGAGGATTATTGTGGTCTTTAAAAACAATATTCAGTGAGAACAGCCTACCACAGGTGCACTCAATTGCTGTGCTTTTGTGAGGGATCACTTTATTTTGTAAAGTTTTATGCTCTAAAATTCAAATAAGGTATGGAAAGAAATGATGTGGAGGCATTTTAGCCCAAGGTCTCAGTGTGTATTCATGGTGTACTTAGATATCACGGGCAGTGGAAGCTGATCAGCATTTGTCTAGCAATTTTTTAGTCAGCTCAAAATCAACACAGAAAGTTCTAGATTTTGTAAGGAACATTTTTATGGTCACTTTTTTTTTTGTTAACTAATATATTTATACTTCATGATATGCCTGCAAATAAAGTATATGCCTGAAAAGAGATCCATGATTATAGGGAGAAAGCTCTACTCTCTTTCAGGCTCCCTGCTTTTTTTTTTTAACTTTTAAGTTCAGGGGTACATGTGCAGGTTTGTTATATAGGTAAACTGTCATGGGGCTTTGTTGTACAGGTTATTTGATCACCCAGATATTAAGCTTAGTATGCATTGGTTATTTTTCCTGATCCTTTCTGTCCTCCCACCCTCCACTCTCCAATAGGCCTATGTGTATGTTGTTCCCCTTTATGCGTCCATTTATCTCCCACTTGTAAGTAAGAAATGTGGTATTTTGTTTTCTGTTACTGCATTAGTTTCCTAAGGATAATGGCCTCCAGCTCCATCCATGCCCCTGCAAAGAACATGATCTTGTTCTCTTTTTATGGCTGCATAATATTCCATGGTGTATATGTAACACAATTTCTTTATCCAGTCTATCATTGATGAGCATTTAGGTTGACTTTACATCTTTGCTATTGTGAATAGTGCTGCAATAAACATATGTGTGCATGTGTCTTTATAACAGAATGATTTGTATGCTTTTGGATGTATACTCCGTAATGGGATTGCTGGGTTGAATGGTATTTCCGTCTTTAGGACTTCGAAGAATTACCACACTGTCTTCCACAATGGTTGAACTAATTTACATTCCCACCAATAGTGTATAAGCATTCCTTTTTCTCCACAACCTCACCAATATGTTGTTTTGTGACTTTTTAGTAATAGCCAGTCTGACTGGTGTGATATGGTGTCTTGTTGTGGTTTTGATTTGCATTTCTCTAATGATTACCGATGTTGAGCATTTTTTCATATGCTTGTTGGCTGCATCTATGTCTTCTTTTGAGAAGTGTCTATTCATGTCCTTTTCTCACTTTTTAATGGGGGCTGTTTGTTGTTTTCTTCTTGTAAATTTGTTTTAAGTTTTTTATAGATGCTGGATATTAGACCTTTGTGAGATACATAGTTTGCCAAAATTTTCTCCCATGATGTAGTTGTCTATTTACTCTGTTGATAGTTTCTTTTGCTGTACAGAAACTATTTAGTTTAATTAGATTAACACTATCAATTTTTCTGTTTGTTGCAATTGCTTTTTGGCATCTGCCTCATGCAATCTTTGCCTGTGCCTATGTCCTGAATGGTATTGCCTAGGTGGTCTTCCAGGATTTTTACAGTGTTGAGTTTTACGTTTAAGTCTTTAATCCATCTTGAGTTAATTTTTGTATATGGCATAAGGAATGGGTCCAGTTTCAATCTTCTGCATATGACTAGCCAGTTCTCCAAGCACCATTTATTGAATAGGTTCAAATAACACAATCTGAAATGGCAAGGGGGATCTTACCACTGACCCCACAGAAATACAAATAATCACCAGAAAATATTATGAATACCTCTATGCACATAAACTTGAAAATTTAGAAGAAATGGATGCATTCCTGGACACATGCACCCTCCCATGCCTGAACCAGGAAGAAATTGAATCCCTGAACAGACCAATACCAAGCTCTGAAATTGAGGCAGTAATAAATAGGGTGTCAACCAAAAAGAAAAAGCCCAGAACCAGATGGATTCATACCTGAATTCTACCAGATGAACAAAGAGGAGCTGGTACCATTCCTACTAAAATTATTTCAAAAAAATGAGGAGAAGGGACTCCTCTGTAATTCATTCTATGAGGCCTGCATCATTATAATACCAAAATCAGGCAGAGATAAAACAAAAAAAGAAAACTTCAGGCCAATATCTTTGATGAACATTGATGCAAAAATCCTCAACAAAATACTGGCAAAGCAAATCCAGCAGCATATCAAAAAGTTATCCACCAAAATCAAATAGGCTTTACCCCTGGGATGCAAGGTTGGCTCAACATACACAAATCCATAAATGTGATTCATCACATAAACAGAACTAAAGACAAAAACCACGTGATTATCTCAATATATGAAGAAAAGGCTTTTGATGAAATTAAATATCAATTTATGTTAACAAGTCTCAGTAAACTAAGCACTGCAGGAACGTACCTCAAAATAGTAAGAGCCATATTTGACAAATCCACAGCCCACATCATACTAAAAGAGCAAAAGCTGGAAACATTTTCCTTGAAAACTGGAACACAGCAAAGATGCCCTCTCACCACTCCTATTCAACATAGTATTGGAAGTCCTGCCCAGGACAATCAGCGAGAGAAAGAAATAAAGGACATCCATATAGGAAGAGGGATAGTATAGATATGAGATTATGTCATCTGTTTGCTGATAACACAATCCCTGTTTGTGGATGACATAAGTTTATCTAGAAAACCTTAAAGTCTCAGCTCAAAAGCTTCTTAAGCTGATAATCAGCTTCAGAAATGTCCCAGGAAATAAAATGGATGTGCAAAAATCACTAGAATTTCTTTACACCAAGAACAGTCAAGCTGAGAACCAGATCAGGAACGTACTCCCATTCACAATTTCCACTAAAAGAATAAAATACCTAAAAACACAGCTAACTAGGGAGGTTAAAGATCTCTACAATGAGAACTACAAAACACTGCTGAAAGGAATCAGAGATGTCACAAACAAATTGAAAAACATTCCATGCTCATGAATAGGAGGAATCAATATCATTAAAATGGACATACTGCTCAAAGAAATTTATAGATTCCTACAAATTCCTATACACACTATTTTTATTTAACTACCATTGAGATTCTTCACATAACTAGAAAAAAGCTACTTTAAAATTCATGTGGAACCAAGAAAGAGCCTGAATAGATGAGGTAATCCTAAGCAAAAAGAACAAAACTGGAGGCATCATGCTACATGACTTTGAACTATACTACAGGGTTACAGTAACCAAAACAGTGTGGTACTGGTACAAAAATAGATATATAAACCAATGGAACAGAATAGAAACCCAGAAATAAATGGTCACAATTTTTTCATCCTCATTGGTTAGAAGTTGTGGGTTTTGTTCTGTTCCACGTGTGGACTAAATCTCCTGTTTTTTCTTCATGTATGCATCTCTTTTTTATTACCACTAGAAATAAAACATGGGACCAACATGGGACCAAAATAAAACATGGGACCAACAAACATTACCATTTACCCACTCGCTATTTAAAAAAAGAGAAAGACCAAAAAAAAAAAAAATGCAGTGTTAAAGGACTAGAATCAGTTCCTCACACTTTTTTGAGTCACTTTCTACATGAGTGCTACTGTCCCCAGCCATTTCTTGCTTTTCTTGTGGGTGAATGCTTACCATCATCACTCACCTTGTGGAGTTTCTTGTGAGCAACTGCATCTAAGTAGTTGTGCATAACTGGTCCGAATCTCTTTCTATCAACACATTAACACCGTTATTGTTTAGCCTCTATTTGTCTAGGTTTTCTCAACAGTAATATTGTTGTCATAATGCCTTCTGGTGGTATTGTTATATGAATTGAAATAATACAATAAAAATATCTGATGTTGTGTCTGGCACACAAAAAGTATGCAATACCTAAAAGCACTTTAGTATTTTTTTTTGTTTATTCTACAAATATTCACAAGCACTTTCTATATGGTTGACACTGGCCTAATTCCCAAGGAAATAGAGGTGAAATAGACATCTGATTTCCTGCTAAGGTTAAGTGATATCTACAATGAATTATTAACCTACCTACAAATCTTCATGGACCTCTGATTGCATGAGAAGTAACAGAAAATAAATAAAGTCGTATACAAACAGCTGATACTCACTAGCACCCCCTGTTTGGATTTACTGGCTGTTTATGGCTAGCATTTGTTCTAATTGGTCATTAAAGGATGCAGGGAGTAGTTTAAGTAGAATTTCAGCTTTGGGAGCTGGTGGTGAAGTGGGATGCTTTTTCCCTGAGGTTGTCCTGGGGAGGAAATCCTCCATTTTTGGTTTACAAGACTAGAGTAATAAAGTTATACTACGAGGACATCTTCATTTAGGTAGTTTGTTTTCAATTAAGCTGGTGACTGGTATAAAAATAAGAATAATAGAAAAATATGCAACGAATGCAGTTTGTCTGATGAATGATGAAAGGGTGTTTGATGGGTTGTTCTCCGATTCAAGTAAGTGTGAATAGGTCAGCCACTAAGATTCAGAATAAACACTGACTTAATTGTTGGAATGTCATACTTCGTTGTTTAGATATATGAAGTATTGGGATAATTGCTAGAATGAGGATAGAAAACACAAGGGCTAGTACACCCCCTAGTTTGTTTGGGATAGACTGTAGGGTTGCATAGGCAAATAAAAAGTACCACTCCGGTTTGATATGGGGCAGAGTGCTAAGGGGGTTTGCTGGGGTGTAGATGTCTGGGCCTCCTAGGAAGTCACGTGAGAATAGAACTAGAATTAGCAGGAGCAGGAGAAGTGGAATTAAGCCTAGAATATCTTTAATTGTGTAATTAGGGTGAAATGGGATTTTGTCAGTCTGATGAAATTCCTGAGGGGTTATTAGATCCTGTTTCATGTAGGAATGAGAGGTGGATGGCTACTAGGGCTGTGATAATAAAAGGTAGGATAAAATGGAAAGTGAAGAATCATATAAAGTTGGCTTTATCAACTGAGAATCCACTTCAGATTCATTGTACAAGGTTGGTTCCAATTATGGGGTGGCTGATAGTACATTTGTCAGTACTGTTGAACCTCAGAACGATATTTGGTCTCATGGAAGTATGTAACCTATGAATGCTGTTGCTATAACCGCAAATAGAAGAATAATGCCAATATTTCAAGTTTCTAGGAAGGTGAATGATCTGTAGTATAAGCCTCAGCCTACATGTAGAAATAGGCAGATGAAGAATATTGAAGCCCCACTAGCACGTAGGTAGCGGATAACTCAGCTGTAATTTACATCTCAGCAAATGCGTGTGACTAAGGAGAAGGTAGTTGAAGTATCTAACTTGTAATGTATAGCTAGGAATAACCCTGTACCGATTTGAAGGACCGGGCAAATATCTAGAAGCGAGTTGAAGTTTCACCATGCAGAGATGTCTGATGGTGCAGGTAGGTCAATAAACGAGTGGTTAATCATTTTTATTAAGGGGTGCATCTCATGAGTGTTAGTCATTAGGGTTCTTATAATTGAAGTACAATGATGATTTTTCATGTCATTAGTCATAGTTATATTCCATTTAAGAATTAGAACATATGTTGTATTTTTATTATTACTCTTGTTATAGGCCTTGTGGGGCTCTCTTCAAAGCCTTCTCCTATTTATGGGGGATTGGGGTTAATTATTAGTGGGGGAGGGGGTTGCAGCATTGTATTAAACTTGGTGGGGCTTTTGTAGGTTTAATAGTTTTTTTTAAATTTATTTGGGGGCAATAATGGTCATTTTTGGTTATATGACAGTGACAGCTACTGAGGAATACCCTGAGACCTGAGGGACAAGTGTTGCTCTGTGGGGTGCTTTGCTATTAGGGTTGCTGTTAGAGTTGGTGTTAGTTATGTGAATAATTGATTATGATGACGTGGAAATTGTAATTGATTTTTTTTTAATGAGATACAGAAACAGCTGGATTGGTTACAGATCAGCGTTTGCCTTATTTGAACACAGTTTGAACAGTTGTCTACATTTGATTGGCCAAAACTCGGTGATTGGCACAAATGTAGGCTATGGTCTGGTTATACCTCCACTTGCTTTTTTTTAAAAAATTTTATTATTATTATACTTTAAGTTTTAGGGTACATGTGCACAACGTGCAGGTTTGTTACATATGTATACATATACCATGTTGGTGTGCTGCACCCATTAATTCGTCATTTACATTAGGTATATCTCCCAATGCTATCCCTCCCCCCTCCCCCAACCCCGCAACAGGCCCCAGTGTGTGATGTTCCCCTTCCTGTGTCCAAATGTTCTCATCATTCAATTCCCACCTATGAGTGAGAACATGCAGTGTTTGGTTTTTTGTCCTTGAAATAGTTTGCTGAGAATGATGGTTTCCAGCTTCATCCATGTCCCTACAAAGGACATGAACTCATCATTTTTTATGGCTGCATAGTATTCTATGGTGTATATGTGCCACATTTTCTTAATCCAGTCTATCATTGTTGGACATTTGGGTTGGTTCCAAGTCTTTGTTATTGTGAATAATGTCACAATAAACATACATGTGCATGTGTCTTTATAGCAGCATGATTTATAATCCTTTGGGTATATACCCAGATATGGGATGGCTGGGTCAAATGGTATTTCTAGTTCTAGATCCCTGAGGAATCACCACACTGACTTCCACAATGGTTGAACTAGTTTACAGTCCCACCAACAGTGTAAAAGTGTTCCTATTTCTCCACATCCTCTCCAGCACCTGTTGTTTCCTGACTTCTTAATGATCGCCATTCTAACTGGTGTGAGATGGTATCTCATTGTGGTTTTGATTTGCGTTTCTCTGATGGCCAGTGATGATGAGCATTTTTTCATGTGTCTTTTGGCTGCATAAATGTCTTCTTTTGAGAAGTGTCTGTTCCTATCCTTTGCCCATTTGTTGATGGGGTTGTTTGTTTTTTTCTTGTAGATTTGTTTGAGTTCTTTGTAGATTCTGGATATTAGCCCTTTGTCAGATGAGTAGATTGCAAAAATTGTCTCCCATTCTGTAGGTTGCCTGTTCACTCTGATGGTGGTTTCTTTTGCTGTGCAGAAGCTCTTTAGTTTAATTAGATCCCATTCGTCAATTTTGTCTTTTGTTTCCATTGCTTTTGGTGTTTTAGACATGAAGTCCTTGCCCATGCCTATGTCCTGAATGGTATTGCCTCGGTTTTCTTCTAGGGTTTTTATGGTTTTAGGTCTAACATTTAAGTCTTTAATCCATATTGAATTAATTTTTGTATAAGGTGTAAGGAAGGGATCCAGTTTGAGCTTTCTACATATGGTTAGCCAGTTTTCCCAGCACCATTTATTAAATAGGGAATCCTTTCCCCATTTCTTGTTTTTGTCAGGTTTGTCAAAGATCAGATGGTTGTAGATGTGTGGTATTATTTATGAGGTCTCTGTTCTGTTCCATTGGTCTATATCTCTGTTTTGTTACCCGTACCATGCTATTTTGGTTACTGTAGTCTTGTAGTATAGTTTGAATTCAGGTAGCGTGATGCCTCCAGCTTTGTTCTTTTGTCTTAGGATTGACTTGGTGATGCGGGCTCTTTTTTGGTTCCATATGAACTTTAAAGTTGTTTTTTCCAATTCTGTGAAGAAAGTCATTGGGTGCTTGATGGGGATGGCATTGAAACTATAAATTACCTTGGGCAGTATGGCCATTTTCACAATATTGATTCTTTCTATCCATGAGCATGGAATGTTCTTCCATTTGTTTGTGTTCTCTTTTATTTCCTTGAGCAGTGGTTTGCAGTTCTCCTTAAAGAGGTCCTTCACATCCCTTGTAAGTTGGATTCCTAGGTATTTTATTCTCTTTGAAGCAATTGGGAATGGGATTTCACTCATGATTTGGCTCTCTGTTTGTCTGTTATTGGTGTATAAGAATGCTTGTGATTTTTGCACACTGATTTTGTATCCTGAGACTTTGCTGAAGTTGCTTATCAGCTTAAGGAGATTTTGGGCTGAGACGATGGGGTTTTCTAGATATACAATCATGTCATCTGCAAACAGGGACAATTTGACTTCCTCTTTTCCTAATTGAATACCCTTTATTTCCTTCTCCTGCCTGATTGCCCTGGCCAGAACTTCCAACACTATGTTGAATAGGAGTGGTGAGAGAGGGCATCCCTGTCTTGTGCCAGTTTTCAAAGGGAATGCTTCCAGTTTTTGTCTATTCAGTATGATATTGGCTGTGGGTTTGTCATAAATAGCTCTTATTATTTTGAGATTCATCCCATCAATACCTAATTTATTGAGAGTTTTTAGCATGAAGGGCTGTTGAATTTTGTCAAAGGCCTTTCCTGCATCTGTTGAGATAATCATGTGGTTTTTGTCTTTGGTTCTGTTTATATGCTGGATTACATTTATTGATTTGCATATGTTGAACCAGCCTTGCATCCCAGGGATGAAGCCCACTTGATCATGGTGGATAAGCTTTTTGATGTGCTGCTGGATTCGGTTTGCCAGTATTTTATTGAGGATTTTTGCATCCATGTTCATCAGGGATATTGGTTTAAAATTATCTTTTTTTGTGTTGTCTCTGCCAGGCTTTGGTATCAGGAGGATGATGCCCTCATAAAATGAGTTCGGGAGGATTCGCTCTTTTTCTATTGATTGGAATAGTTTCAGAAGGAATGGTACCAGCTCCTCCTTGTACCTCTGGTAGAATTCAGCTGTTAATCCATCTGGTCCTGGACTTTTTTTGGTTGGTAAGCTATTAATTATTGCCTCAGTTTCAGAGCCTGTTATTGGCCTATTCAGAGATTCAACTTCTTCCTGGTTTATTCTTGGGAGGGTGTATGTGTCAAGGAATTTATCCATTGCTTCTAGATTTTCTAGTTTATTTGCATAGAGGTGTTTATAGTATTCTGTGATGGTAGTTTGTATTTCTGTGGGATCGGCAGTGATATCCCCTTTATCGTTTTTTATTGCGTTTATTTGACTCTTCTCTCTTTTCTTCTTTATTAGTCTTGCTAGAGGTCTATCGATTTTGTTGATCTTTTCAAAAAACCAGCTCCTGGATTCATTGATTTTTGGAAGGGTTTTTGTGTCTCTATCTCCTTCATTTCTGCTCTGATCTTAGTTATTTCTTGCCTTCTGCTAGCTTTTGAATGTGTTTGCTCTTGCTTCTCTAGTTCTTTTAATTGTGATGCTAGGGTGTCAATTTTAGATCTTTCCTGCTCTCTCTTGTGGGCATTTACTGCTACAAATTTCCCTCTACACGCTGCTTTAAATGTGTCCCAGAGATTCTGGTATGTTGTGTCTTTGTTCTTGTTGGTTTCAAAGAACAACTTTATTTCTGCCTTCATTTCATTATGTACCCAGTAGTCATTCAGGAGCAGGTTGTTCAGTTTCCATGTAGTTGAGTGGTTTTGAGTGAGTTTCTTAATCCTGAGTTCTAGTTTGATTGCACTGTGGTCTGAGAGAATTTCTGTTCTTTTACATTTGCTGAGGAGTGCTTTACTTCCAACTATGTGGTCAATTTTGGAATAGGTGTGGTGTGGTGCTGAAAAGAATGTATATTCTGATGATTTGGGGTGGAGAGTTCTATAGATGTCTATTCGGTCTGCTTGGTGCAGAGCTGAGTTCAATTCCTGGGTATCTTTGTTAACTTTCTGTCTCGTTGATCTGTCTAATATTGACAGTGGGGTGTTAAAGTCTCCCATTATTATTGTGTGGGAGTCTAAGTCTCTCTGTAGGTCACTAAGGACTTGCTTTATGAATCTGGGTGCTCCTGTATTGGGTGGATATATATTTGGGATGGTTAGCTCTTCTTGTTGAATTGATTCCTTTACCATTATGTAATGGCCTTCTTTGTCTCTTTTGATCTTTGTTGGTTTAAAGTCTGTTTTATCAGAGTCTAGGATTGCAACCCCTGCCTTTTTTTGTTTTCCATTTGCTTGGTAGATCTTCCTCCATTCCTTTATTTTGAGCCTGTGTGTTTCTCTGCACGTGAGATGGGTTTCCTCAATACAGCGCACTGATGGGTCTTGTCTGTTTATCCAATTTGCCAGTCTGTGTCTTTTAATTGGAGCATTTAGCCCATTTACATTTAAGGTTAATATTGTTATGTGTGAATTTGATCCTGTCATTATGATGTTAGCTGGTTATTTTGCTCGTTAGTTGATGCAGTTTCTTCCTAGCCTTGATGGTCTTTACATTTTGGCATGTTTTTGCAGTGGCTGGTACCGGTTTTTCCTTTCCATGTTTAGTGCTTCCTTCAGGAGCTCTTTTAGGGTAGGCCTGGTGGTGACAAAATCTCTCAACATTTGCTTGTCTGTAAAGTATTTTATTTCTCCTTCACTTATGAAGCTTAGTTTGGCTGGATATGAAATTGTGGGTTGAAGGTTCTTTTCTTTAAGAATGTTGAATATTGGCCCCCACTCTCTTCTGGCTTGTAGCGTTTCTGCCAAGAGATCTGCTGTTAGTCTGATGGGCTTCCCTTTGTGGGTAACCTGACCTTTCTCTCTGGCTGCCCTTAACATTTTTTCCTTCATTTCAACTTTGGTGAATCTGACAATTATGTGTCTTGGAGTTGCTCTTCTCAAGAGGTATCTTTATGGCATTCTCTGTATTTCCTGAGTTTGCATGTTGGCCTGTCTTGCTAGATTGGGGAAGTTCTCCTGGATAATATCCTGCAGAGTGTTTTCCAACTTGGTTCCATTCTCCCTGTCACTTTCAGGTATACCAATCAGACGTAGATTTGGTCTTTTCACATAGTCCCATATTTATTGGCGACTTTGTTCATGTCTTTTTACTCTTTTTTCTCTAAACTTCTCTTTTTGCTTCATTTCATTCATTTGATGGTCAATCACTGATACCGCTTCTTCCAGTTGATCAAATCGGCTACTGAAGCTTTTGCATTTGTCACGTAGCTGTCATGCCATTGTTTTCAGCTCCATCAGGTCATTTAAGGACTTCTCTACATTGATTCTTCTAGTTAGCCATTCTTCTAACCTTTTTTCAAGGTTTTTATCTTGTTTGTGATGGGTTCGAACTTTCTCCTTTAGCTCGGAGAAGTTTGATCGTCTGAAGCCTTCTTCTCTCAACTCATCAAAGTCATTCTCCATCCAGCTTTGTTCCGTTGCTGGTGAGGAGCTGCGTTCCTTTGGACGAGGAGAGGCACTCTGATTTTTTAGAATTTTCAGTTTTTCTGCTCTGTTTTTTCCCCATCTTTGTGGTTTTATCTACCTTTGGTCTTTGATGATGATGACGTACAGATGGGGTTTTGGTGTGGATGTCCTTTCTGTTTGTTAGTTTTTCTTCTAACAGTCAGGACCCTCAGCTGCAGGTCTGTTGGAGTTTGCTGGAGGTCCACTCCAGACCCTGTTTTCCTGGGTATCAGCAGCGGAAGCTGCAGAACAGTGAATATTGCTGAACAGCAAATGTTGCTGCCTGATCGTTCCTCTGGAAGTTTCGTCTCAGAGGAGTACCCGGCTGTGTGGGTTGTCAGTCTACCCCTACTTGGGAGTGCCTCGCAATTAGGCTACTCGGGTGTCAGGGACCCACTTGAGTAGGCAGTCTGTCTGTTCTCAGATCTCCAACTCCGTGCTGGGAGAACCACTACTCTCTTCAAAGCTGTCAGACAGGGACATTTAAGTCTGCAGAGGTTTCTGCTGCCTTTTGTTTGGCTATTGTAATTGATTTTAAGAATATAGAAAACTGGGTGATCTTTGAGGGTGAAGGAATAGGATTACTTTGTGAGGATTCTATGGGTGTAGGTGCCTTATACAGTTATGGATGTTAATTGGTGGTGGTTGCTGGTTGATCTCTGTTAGTATTTTTATTGTGATTGAGATTACGTGAGGGAACAGGGTTAAATAATTAAGAATAGTGTTAGGAGAGAGGGAGTAAGAAAAGAGAAAAAGGAGAGCTTAATTAGGCTTTTCTGGGTAGATACAATGGTGGAGGCTATAATTTGAATTTGGGCAGTATTTTTTGGTATTCTTTTTGTCTAATAAAGTTAGGTCTAGTAGAAGAGAGACTAAGTTTTGACTTGCAAATAAATTTAAGTGTGATGTTGTGCGGTGTATTATGACTGGGTAAAACCCTAATATGTTAGAGAAATTAAATATCTGTGATGCGTACTTGAGTTTGAGGTTGTTAGTCATAAGATTATGTTCTACTGCAAGTAAGAAGCCTGAAATAGTTACTCTGAGGGCTGTGACACTGTGCCTGTGCTGTAACAGTTGTAACTATTTGAATATTATTTCTGGATATAAGTAACATATTTAATGACATAATGCATGAAAAGTCCTTATCATGGTCTCAATCCCAGAATAAGTTTTTAGTAAATGTTAATTTTTGTTATTATAATCACTGTAAAAAAGATAAACTGTACTCAGAAAAAGAGCTTACT